>NC_000003.12:126887392-127038907 GCF_000001405.40 Homo sapiens
ATGTCTTGGCTTCTTAGATTTAGTGCCATTGTTTCTATCAGCCAATGCATGTTCTAGAGCTGCCTGGTGCAAGTGGAGGCTCGTGTGGGAAGATCTGGCTTGGCTCTCATGCAGGAGGATCTGGCTTACTCCCCCTAGCCCTGTATTATGGCCCAAGAGGGCCCCAGAAAAGTTCAGCGAGTAGCCCAGTGTCCCTGGGCTGGGTTGCAGCCTGAAACCCATGTCTTCTGACTCGGGCCTCCTATTCCCATCGGCCTTCTGTTCTGGCCTTCAGGGACTCCAGATGCTGACCAAAACATAAGTGATGTCCCCGCTTCCCGGTGGCCTCCCGGAAACACCGTGCATTGGGCCACATTGGACCAGCCGCAGCATAGGGACTACCCAGGAAGGCATCCAAGCAGTCAATGGTTCCCACCCAGCTGGAGCATCCTTTTTGCTGAATGAGAATCACGGACACAGAACATCTGGAGCCTGGCCAGAGTATGCTAGTTGCCAGCTTAAATCCACACCCACTCTTCTTTTCACTGAGATAAGAACTCCACTTTTATCTGGGGTGGCAAAGAATCCTACTAATATCCACTTCCTAGCCTCTCTGCAGCTAAAGGTGGCTGAGGACTTTGTTCTAGTCATGTATATGTGAGCGGGGGGCTGCTGAGGGGCCCTCAGCCAGAGTCCTGCCTGCTGCCTCTCTCTGGCTGACTAAAGTGTGGGTGTGGGAGGGAGAGCTCCAGTACCCTCTCCTCAAGGGAAGGCGACCTTGAGGAGGGAAGGCACACACAAGGACAGCAGAGCAGAAAGACAGAAGAGCTGGAGGCCCTCCGGACTCTGGGGTTACCATGCCACCAGGACTGCCTGCATCTCAGCTTCTTTTTAGAGTTGGTAGAGCGAAAAGGACTTCCATGTGGTTTAAGCTGCTGTGACTATAGGCTTCCTGTTATCTGTAGCTGAATCTAGCCCTAGCTGATAAAGAGCCTCTTGAAACATATTCTGTTATCTAACATCTGAGCTAAGGCACAATGAAGAATTCCTCTTCTGTTGCACTTAATTGTATTTATCCATTTAGCCACTCCTCATGCGACAGCCACCAAGCCACTCACTGCACTCCAGCTAATATCACTAGGGTCAATAAGGGATGTTCCCCCTGCTGTGCCCCACCTGCTGCCTGCTGAGATGGAGGAGCTTCTGGAGGCCACCTGGACAAGTGATGAGAGTGTTCTGAAAATGATCAGAAGAGCCATCTGGGGCCCCCAGGTTTTCACCAGGGACGGGAGACAGCCCTCGTCTGGTGAGTAGACAGGAAGGGATGGTGGAGACAAAGCATAGACCTGCTCTCTGGGTGCACTCAGGGGTGTGCCTGCTCCCCCACCATGGAGCAGTGCTCGTTTTCCCGTGGCCACATTTTTGCATGGGGCTGAGCTGGGTAGCCCCTGTGAGAGTGAGGAGCTGACCATGAGGGTCCCCTGGGCTTCCGCTCTGGGGAGAAAGTGGGCAAGTCAACCCCTCATCCCTGTGTGGTGCCCCTGCCACAGGGAGGCCCACGTGTGGTGCTTAGCCCCACAGCAGGCCTTCCGGTTGTCTCTATATGGGTGTGGAGACACATAAAACAGGCTTGGTCCCTCGTGTGGTGCTAGGAGCCTCAGGAGAGTGGTGGGTGAGTGACCAGCACGGGTTGGTGTGGGGAACTGCAGAAAGCCCCAGGTGGCTGCCCAGCTGTGTTGGGTCCTTGGAGGTTTCTTGAAGGAGGTGGTGTCGGGGTGGACTAGAAGGCCTAGGAATGAGGGAAGCAGCTCTGGTGGGCATCAGAGGTGACGTGGAGAGAAGGGCCCAGGGCAGGGCTGCTGAGGGCACTGAGGGGTGTGGTCTTCAGCCTGAAGGTGGTGGCAGGAGCTGGGGCCACAGTGCCAGATGACTGATGTGTCACTGAGAAGGGCTGCCCTGGAGGCTGCAGACCAGCGTCCTGTGCTTCCATACCTGCAGAACTTGAGGCACTGCGGAGCCCACACACCAGTCACTTCCATGCTATACCCCAGCCTGGAAGGGGTGACATGCTCTGGGCTTGGCAGTCCAGCAACCTGGTGCCCTTGGTACTCGGGCTCCTCAGCACCCACCAGGGCTGTGCAGCTCCACCCAGCTCCTGCTGAGCCACTGGCTGGCAGGTGCCTGCAGGAGCAGACTGTGCCCATCACACTTGCCTCTGTGCACAGTGGCCACACTCTCCAACCACCTGGGCCCCCATGTTCCTGGCTGCCATTGCCTTTATGATACAGGAATCCTTGCTGCAGGGTATTCTTGTATACCGCCACTGCACATCTTTCTTTCCCTCTGCCTTTTTATACCTCCTTCCCAGAGTCTCGAGAGCTGGAGACTCCGTGAGTGTCAGGAATATCATTTATGTGAAGGAGCCTGTTGCCACAGCAACCCCAGCAGATGGCCTGGTGCCTGGTCTGCAGTCTCTGACCAGGTCCGCAGAAAGCGTTCCAGCAGGGAGATGTGAGGGTGGCCCCTGCTCCTGCGTTTGTGGTTTGTTGGTACCCTGGGTAGAGGAACCATCAAAGGGGCTGGACCAGCAGCCCTGAGCTGACAGCGTTGACGGGCTTTGTCCAGGCCTGAGGCTGACCACAACTGCCATCCTTTCTCCTGTGGGCTGCATGGCCCATGTGGAGAGGGCCAGGTGGAGGGACTTTGAGGTGACCCCCAAGGTGCTCCAGCTCACTGTCGGGGCCTTCCTAGGCCATGTGCCAGCCGCCTGGAAAGTGGGTGGGTTTCCTGTGCGGCTGAGAGGAGTCTTGCTGGTGGTAGGTGAAGCCGGGAGTTGTCAGCATTTTGCAGAAATCATCAATAGCTGAACAAGGGCTGGAGGCTCAGCCACTTCCTGGGCATGCACGTGTCCTTCATGAGCGGGTAGGGCCTGGAGCCAGCTCTAGCCCCCATTGCTGGCTGCTGTGGTCCCTCAAGGCTCGGTGACACAGGCACACAAGGTCCCTTGGTTTTCGCTTGGTGTGGGAGGGTAGTATTGGGAGAGGGCTGCAGTGTCCCACCTAAAAACAGGCACATTGGGTTAGTTCCATTAGACCCACTGATGGAACTGTGCCTGTACAGCCCCAGGACTCTGCGAGGCCCCTGGGGGACAGAGTCAGGAGGAGAGGTTGGGGATGAGAGTAGGGACTGGGCTCTGTGTCATATACGCAAAGCAGCAGCACCTGCATTTCTGTAGCTGTGGGGCTTCTGAGTAAGAGTCCACTTGAACAACAGTTCTTTAGCCTAAATTTAAAAGCCACTGTGCTAGGTGTTCTCTAAGAACCCTACTAAAGCAACATTGTAAGATTTTATGATTATTTATATAACTTAATAAGTAACACCTTCAGTGCCTTGATTTTTCCAGGTGTATTTCTGAGCAGCGGTTCTCAGCCTGTTTCTGTCCCTAGTCCACCTCAGGACTATGGCCCTTCCCTCCAAGGCACAGTGTCTCACTTTGGCTGGGGTTCCCCAGGGAGTGGGGAGGGAATGTTGGAGATGGGAAGGCATTGAAGCTACATGGTCCTGAATTTCTCAGTGAAGAAGGATGTGAGAGATTTTTAGGAAGCGCCCAGTGGGATTGCAATTTGGCCAGAGGGTGGATTGGGATGGGGTGAATTTTTAGTAGCTACTGTGTACCAGGCACTGCCCTGTGTGCTGGGGAGTTAGCAATAAACAAGACATTGTTTCTTCCCCAGGACATACCCTAGCAGGGAGACAGCCAGTAGACCAGCATGCTGTGGAGACGTATCAGGTGCCGGTGGGGTGCTGCAGCCCCAAGTATACCATGTCGGAAAGGCCTGGGGGTTGTGTTAGCTAGGGCTGTGGAGCCTCCCTAAGCAAGTGACACTTGAGACCTGAATGTGGAGGTGGCAGTCATGGAAGCGACTGAGGAGTAGATCTGGACCCGAGCTCTGGGAAGATCCTTGAGCAGAAGGCAGAGCTGACAGCAGGGCCCTGAGGTGGAAATGCACCTGCAGGTTTACAGGGCAGGGGGATGGCCGGTGCACCAGGAGTCTAGTGGGAGTGGGAGATGGGCGGCAGGGGTGAGGCCAGTGAGGGGCAAGAGGGCCCTATTAGATAGGCCTTGGCAGGAACCAGGAGGCAGTTCCATGATCATCCTGCAGGGATGAGAAGCAGATATGACTTTGCACTTTGGGAAGATGGCTGCAGCTGCCTTGAGGAGGGTAAGCCAGTAGCGTGAGTCTGGAACCTGGAAGATCCATTAGGAGGTGGCTGTTTAGCCATCCCATGTGAAACAGGGAGGCTGGAACCAGGGTTGAGGGAGTGGGGTTGTGAGAAGTGCTTGGGCTTGAAATGTGTTTGGGGTAATGACACCTTACTGATGGGCTTGAGGGGTTAAGTAAGACAGAGCTAGATCAAGGGCAGCCTTAGGCTTCTGGCTTGAACCACTGGGTGTGGGGAGAGAGAAGAAAGGCTGGTGGCAAGGGGCATGTGAGTTGGAGCTAGCTGTGTTCCAGAGCTGCGACGGTGGCCCCGTGTTCTGGGGTAATGAAATCTAAGCCACTGGCATTTGGGAAGCACCTGTGCTTGTCACTGAGCTGGAGTGCCCAGGAGAAGCATCCTGTGCAGCCTATGGCAGACATCGCAGGGGCCTTGGCCCAGGCAGGTGCCAGCGACAACGTCTCACAGCCTTCATGTTGCATGTTTTTTCTCATGGGGACCCAAAACCTCGGCTCTGAGCAAGACACCGGGGGGATCCTCTGTGCCTACTACAGCTCGTCCTCCTCTGGAGGTTGTCATTATGGCCCTTTCAGCGCCAGCCTGGGCGGGCTCAGCTCCAACACTGAGTCCCATGCTTGTACAGGCCTGGAGTCTCTCTCATGAGAGCTGGTTGTTCTTCAGTTAAGGCGCTGTGACTTAAAGAGACTGCAAAGCCTCAAACAACAGCCATGAAAACATTATAACCCAGGTGGGTTTCTAATCCATACACATCATCCAGCCCAGCCCCCGACTCTATCCAGAACATTCTTCCACAGCATCCCCAATAAATGGCTCCTCACCTTGGTCTCTCCTGCCGCAGGGTGCTCACAACTTCACAATGTAGTTCCTTTCTTTGCCTACAACCCTGAGACTTAGAGCTGCTTCAGCGTTGGGCACCCCTGAAATTCCTGCTGCGTGGTTCTTCTTCTGCCCTCCTGGGGCACACAGGTCCATCCCTAGCCCACGTCCAGCTTTCAAGACCCTGAAGATGGCATTTGTACTGCTTTCCTTCTCTGCATAAACCCCCCCTTCTCCAGACTGTATTCCCTTACTCTCATTTCCATATGAGACATGAGTTTAGAAACTCCTGAGGAACTGGCATACTCTGTTCCTCTTAGATTTGAGGCCTAAAAGCAAACGCAGCTCCTCCGCTGTAACACAGCGCACCCATGCCTTGCCCAGCACTTCTGCCTGCCATTGTGTCTGTCTCAGGTGAAAGTGGTGCTGACTGGGCGTGATTTGCTTTTCTCAAATAGTTCTTATTTCCTGAAAGTCTCTTCAGCTGTTTTTTTGTTTTTGTTTTTCTTTTTTTGTTGTTGTTGTTGTTTTGTTTTGTTTTGTTTTGTTTTGTTTTTGAGACCGAGTCTTGCTCTGTCTCCCAGGCTGGAGTGCAGTGGCGCAATCTTGGCTCACTGCAACGTCCACCACCTGGGTTCAAGTGATTCTCCTGCCTCAGCCTCCCAAGTAGCTGGGATTACAGGGACCCGCCATTATGCACAGCTAATTTTGTATTTTTAGTAGAGATGGGGTTTTGCCAAGCTGGTCTCGAACTCCTGGCCTCAAGTGATCTGCTGTCTCGGCTGGCCTCCCAAAGTGCTGGGATTACAGGCATGAGCCACAGCGCCCAGCCAGCTGATTTATTTTTAATTGAGTGATCTCTAGGCTTTGAATAGAACAGTAAATAATTATTTGGATTCCTGAGGATAGGAGGTTTTTTCTCTCCACTCTGTCATTGAGGTGTCTCATAGCCCTGAGTGACTCATTCGTTTTCTCTACCTTGTCTAGCCCTGTGGGAATTGGCGGCCTTGCCACCGGTGCTCTGGCCTCCTTGAATGAGGTCAAGACAGACATTGAGCATGCCTAATAGTTTCCATTTCTTGCTCAGGAGTTGCGATAAAAGCCATTAATCCGAAGAGTCCTAGTCCTTTATTACAAAAGATAAAATGACATCAATGCAATGATAGCAGGGCTCCAGATTCAGGGGTTGAGTCCATAGGGAAATTTGCCTATGAAAGGAACCCCCAGAGCCAGCAGGGCTCTACCTGGGGAGAAACACTGAACCCCCGCTAAGGGGAGATAGTTAAAACATGGCTTGATTGGGCCAGACCCCTTCAGCAGAGTGCAGATGCATTGACTATCCTGGGTGTCCTGTGTAGGCCAGCTCCTAGGCCTGGAAGAGAGACCACTCAAAAACAGGTGCCTGAAAGCTGTGGGAGAAGCAGCCAGCTCCTGGGGGATGTGCATTAGATGTCCTGGTGCCCCTAACTCCAGAAGGGATGGTGATTGGCAGAGGAGGAGGCAGCTGAGCTTTGAGATGGCCCTGCCCTTGGCGGGAGCTGTGCTGCTGAGAGGGCTGCAAACACACCTCCAGGGCTCTACCCAGAAGAGCCAGTTAGGAAGCTGCACTTGGCTGTTACCTAGTTAGGTTTTTGTGTTTTCCTCACCTTTGTGATTGTCCTTCCTTCAGCTGGGAGGCAGCTGCATCATGGTAACACCTCAAACACTTCTCCTGAGATGCCCCATGGCACACCCAATGTCCCCACCCTTGCTTGAGGCCATGTGTTTTTCTTAGACACAACCTGGCACTGCGCAGTGAAGGCTCAAAGAAGTGACGTGCTGCCCCTTGGGGGCTGGTCCTTCCTCTATGTTAGCCAGGAGCCCACGGTTCTCCTGAGGGCCCACAAGGGTCTGTGGAAATGAAGTCCATGGTCTTTTTTGTGAAGCAGCTTCTCTGTTCTTTGGGGCCACTTGAGGCTCATGAAGAACTCAGGCCTTTCCAAGACAAAGGACAGACATTAAACATAGGGAGAAAGGGGCAGGGAATGCAGGATGCTATTGTGCAAGGAACAGGATGGATGGGAGCAGCATTTGGAAGACAGGAAGAGGTAGGGGAGAGGAGTTCTGTTCCAGACTAGTTGCTTCTCAGGGGCAGGGCCCATTTCTTCCTCTGTGTGTGCTCAACCCTCAGCACCGCCCAGGACACCCAACAGGCCATCCAGCCAGTGTGAGCACACACCCATCACGGTGGGAGGCAGACTGAGTGTGAGCACCCAGCAGACGGAGCAGGAGGCTGGTGAAGGGGTGGTGTTGGGCACATAAAGGAGGTCTGGAGGGATCACAGACTGGGCCATACAGCTGCAGCAGGAGCAGCACTGCAGTTGTCCTTCCAGCATGTGCGACAGCAGGAGAGATCTGGAGGCACTGCAAAGACATGTGCAACAAAAGGTGCTTTCCATTTACCACTTCATGTAATTTAAAGAGCCACATATGCACATGGTAAAACATTTAAGTCAATGCAAAATTGAACACCTCTTTTCTGCCAACCCCTTATCCCACTCACCAGAGAGTAGCCACTATTAACACTTTCTTACTTATCCTTTCAGAAATTTGTAATGCATATTCAAGCATATACTTTACCCAAATGGAATCACACGATATTGTTCTGCAGCTTGCTTTTTTCACCTTAATAAGATATCTTGCAGTTCTTTCTCTGTTGTATATATAAACCTTTCTCATTCTTGTTAATGGTTGCATAGCTAAAATCGTAGATTCTTCAAGCTGGAAGGAACCTTCAAATCAATGTGATCTAATTGCCTCATTTTGCTAGAACCCGGAATGGTGAGGTGACTTGCCGGAGGGCACAGTGAGTTAGCGGAAGGAAAGGATTCCTCTGAGAGCTATTTAGAAGGAAGAGCTTCATGAGGGGCTGGGTGCTGGGGTGACAGATAGGAATGACCATTACCGGCTGGCTGCATTTCATCAGCAGCAGCGTCTGTGTCCATCATTCTGGGCTATTTGCAGCAGGAGAAAAGAGGGAGGACTGGAGAGAGGAAATGATAGCCCTCTGCACACATTAAAGTTGAGTTCACAAGATACTTGGGTGGAAATGTCATTTGGGCCAGTAGAAATTTGTGTTCAAGTTCCCATGAAAGGCCCTCTGTCTTGAGCAACAGAGCCAAACACCCATTATTTGGAGAGCAAGTGTTTTCCTAGAAATTGCTAGATTTTGTATTTGTCCCTTTGTAGTTATTTTTAGGCATGGAAACAGAGCTGGTTGCAGGAGGGTGTGACTCCTGCTGGCCCCAAACTTGTTCCTTTGCTGTATTTGCTGACCCCATCCCCCACCCCTTCCAGTTGCTTCTGGCATCCTGCCATGTGACTTAGGTTGGTAGGAATAGGCATGAGTGAAAGCCTTCTGAAAGGCCTTAGGGCAGCAGCTGCCTGATTGCCACACAGAAGATGGGTCAGAGATGGGACCTCTTGCCTCTGCTGCACCGAAGGACAGGGTGTTTATTCACTGCCAAGCCTCTGGCTTATGGTGTGCTAGTGAGAGCTGGGAGGGCCCTGAGAGATGTTCTAGCTCAGCAAGTCCCACCCCGGGGTCTCTGTGCCCCCAGGGTTGCCTATTCATTTGCCAGGGTGGAATATATGAAACCACAGCCTAGGAAGGGCACATCTTCCTGGAATGTCAGTTTTACATGAAGCTTTGAGGAGAGAGATGCTATTTTTATATTAAAGCAAACACTGATATTATGAAATAGCATGGAAAAGTCAAGTTACTTTTCAAGATAAAACACGCAATTTCAAAGCAATTTTATCTTCCCTTGCCTTGGGCAACTTCAAGCTTTAACCCCTACACCCTGGAGGGCATATGTTCTCTCTCCTCTGCTCTTTGGGACTTTGTCAAAAAGTACTTTAGTTAGATTGGGGTAGTCTTCTCAATAAAATGAACTTTATCTTAAAGATGTACATAGCCCAGAACCAGGAGGTGACAGGGCTCTGGTCAGCTCCTGGCCAGGTCTCTGCCTGCTCTATGCTTAGCTGTATTTGCTCCCTGCTGCCCAGTCTCCACATAGCCCATCTGCTTTTTCTGGTCTCTCAGAGTTCCTTTCATCTTTGGTGGACCTCAATCCACCCTAATGACTTCCTCTTGCATTACCTCCATTGCCAACTGGCCACTCACTTCTTGGTTTATTCCCAAAGGAAATCTGCTTGGCCCAGCTCTTCTTCTCATACCTGATCAACCCGGCTGTAGATCTGCTGCCCTGTGATCAGATCAGCTGGAATGAGTTCAGGGGCTTCTCATATGAGACATGCTTCCCTAGATGTCAACCTCTGGAGGGGCAGGAGTGGGCTAGCAGACCCTCGAAGGGGATATGGACTCGTGGGTGCTGCTCCAGTCCAGCCAGCTGGAGCGCAGAGGAGACATGGGGGCTGGAGAGGGAAACAGTGAGTGGTGGAGGTGGGCCCTCACCTCCTAAGACTTCTTTCCCAGGCCCTTGCTTTCCTGCATTTTCCCTGTCCCATCCTTTCAGTTTGAATGAACACCTCCTACTGCTGTAGTCCAGGTTACCAGTGAGGACCTTAACCTCCCAGAGTGCATCAGCATAGACTCTCCAACATGGATGAGGTGTGGAGAGTTGGATGGGAGCTGAAGGGAAGGGATGAGGGGCAGAGCATCAGTGTGGGGCCCTGATGTGTGGCCCGTGCTGTTCGGGGAGAGAGAGAGCCATGCTGACAGGGTCCCCCAGCTGGCACACACTCCCCAGGGTCCCACAGACACTGCTGCAGCAGGGCTAGCGTCTCTATTCATCGAGGCTGGCCGCATTTCAGGAACCATTAATCCTCTTTCTATCTCTAAGTACTATGACCATGGACAAGGTTCTCTTCACAAGCATGCCATGGTATCAATAGATAACGACTCTGAAAGATTTTTCTTCTTTTGGATTAATATAGTGGTGATGCTGTGGGTTAATGTGCTGGAGTCAGGGTGTTACTCTTTTAACTAGGACATTATTAACAGAGCAAACCTACTTTTTCATCTGATTTTATCCTGTGCCTGTTCCTTACTAGCTTTTACTGAAGGACTTTTTTATTCTGTATTGTCTGTTGCAGAAAGTGTAGGCAGTTCATGGTTTTGGGAGTCAGACAGACCTGGGTTTAAATCTTTCCTCCACTACTCACTGGCGCTGTGACCTTGAACAACATTCTTCATCTCTCTGAACCTGTTTTCTCAGCTATAAAAAGGAGACGATGTTCCCAGCCTTCTCTGGCTGATAGGATTTAATGAGATCACTTGCAGTGGCACTTTGAACCTCTAGCCATTCTGACCTTTTTTCAGTTTGTCCCCCTAGGCCCTTTGGCTCCCCATTTGCTCTGCCTGGAATGCTGTTCCCTTCCCTGTCCCTTCCCTCCAGCTGCCTGGCACTTTATGGGCATGTACACCCCAGCATAGGAGCCCTCTGCATGTGGACAGTCCTGGGTTTTCTACCAACTGGGATTGTGGCCCTAGATGAGTCTTTCAGCCTCAGTCTCTGCCTGTGGAGTGGGGAACATGGAAACTCCTGCAGGGTCTCCATGAGGACCACCCTGGTGTGTGGAGAGGCCCTGCAAAACCTGTCTCGCAAATACTGTGCTCTGCTGATTGGCAGTGGCCTTCTCCATTAGAGTTTTCACAGGCTTGGGCAGCTGTGGGTGAGGCCCTTCAGGTCCGCAGGACCCAGTGCAAGGTCAGCATCCTGCCGCCAGCCCGGCTCGCACCCCCTGGACTGTCCTTCCAAAGTCAGGCTGGGAACGAGGTCCCCCTGCTCTTCCCCAGTAAAGCTGAACATTAAAACTTGGGAAAGTTTGTTTTGTTTTGCTATTTGCTTGCCCCTCTGGGCTTCCCTTTATTCCCCAGCTGGGAAGTCATCAGGAATAGACACGGTTACTTATTTCCTGAGTAACTGAGTTGTGCTGGGCACAGTGCTGGGCCCGCATCTGGCCAGCTGGGGCACCGAGGAGACATGGGGACTGGAGAGGAAAACAGAGAGATAAGGGGTTTTGTTTGGAATGATAGAGATATTTTGGAAGTGGGTAGAAGCATTGGTGGTGAATTTATTTATTTAGTTAGTTAGTTTAGTTTAGTTTAGTTTAGTTTTTTGAGATGGAGTTTCTCGCTCTTGTTCCCCAGGCTGGAGTGCAATGGTGCGATCTCAGCTCACTGCAACCTCTGCCTCCCAGGTTCAAGCGATTCACCAGTCTTAGCCTACTGAGTAGCTGGGATTATAGGCACCCGTCCCCACGCCCAGCTAATTTTTGTATTTTTAGTAGAGACAGGGTTTCACCATGTTGGCCAGGCTGGTCTTAAACTCCTGACCTCAGATGATCTGCCCTCCTCGGCCTCCCAAAGTGCTGGGATTACAGGCGTGAGCCACCACACCTGGCTGTGAATTTGTTAAATGCCACTGAAATATTCACTTTAAAATGGTTAAATTTATGTTATGTGAATTTCACCTCAGTAAATATTAAAAGGAGGAAATTGATAAGATGGGAAGTAGTACATCAAATGTACATGTGTTGAGGACCTGTGGGGCATTTGGTTCCCGCAGGCAGTTAGACACAGAGGTGAGGCTCTGGGTGCCACCACTGACTCTGAGGGTCTTGGGCTAACATTATTTTCTTCAGTGATGTCTAAAAGAGTAGACTGCGTAGCTCAGGTTTACTGTAACTGCCTTTCTGTGCAGTGTTTGGAGGGATGTGATAACACTGTTCTGGGTCAGGTGGCTAAATGTTGAGATGCCTAGGTTGTGTGATAGGTTTAATTACTTTATTGGAAAAATGCTAAGAAACACATCAGCATTAACTCACAGAGTTTTCCTTATTCCTATCCTGGTCGTTGTTTTGATTATGATTTAGATAAAGGTGAAGAAACCTACTCATCAAATTTGCAAATTTTCCAAAGCTTGAATGGATAGTGAATGTGTTGAATGATGGTCAAAGACATTTGCGATATTAGGCTGCCTGGAATCCATTTTCCTTTCTTTGGTGTCAGTATCTGGATTTTCGTTTGGAAACCTTCCTTTTCTATTCATATAGCCCACGCGTTTCTGAGTGAGATGAACCCAATGCCAATTCTAATGTGTTCTCCAAGTCACTGATGTTGATGTACATACACCATCCTCCTCTCTATCGTGGTTGCTTTAGATGACACAGCCCACCCAGAAGACAGAAGTTTGGGGACCTGGGAGAAATAATCCCTTGGGCTTCAGAGAGCACAGCTCTTTTTTTGTTTCATCCATTCACCTTTCCTGGTCTTGAGAGTGCCCTTCCATGGCACATTGGAAAGGGACATTTTGTGCTCTTGCTGCAGCCCTCAGCAGTGCAGCCGAGAGGAAAACCATGCTTAGCATGAACCTTACCTGAAGAAGGCAGAGCCAGGAGATGGAAATCACCAAATTTGTGGTGACCTCATCTAGCCACTTGATTTGTACAGCACCACTGGATGTTGAAGCTGTGAGAGCCAATAATTCCCTTGAGCTGATCAGACCACTTTGATTCTAGTTGTCTGTTACTTACAACCAGCGTGTCCTGATTGTCACAGTGATAAGTCAATCTCCCACAATCTCACCAGATCTTATTTGTTAAATTGTACGTTTGTTAATTTTTTGTGTTGAAATTTGACAGGAAAAAGTATTGGGCTTTTTTGCTGTGTCCCAGAAAGCTCACTGTACACATAATGTGTAGCAACGTGAATGGAAAAGACGTTGGGAGTTTTCCTTGACATTAAGCTCAGTGTGATATGGAGTTGGAGACCTGATCTTAACCCTAGCCTTTTTACTTCCTACCTCTATGTCCTGGGCAGGTCAGTTGACTTTTCTGAGCCTGGCATGTATCGCCTGTCAAAGGGGGTGACACCTACCTTTCCAGTGTTGTGAGAATCAAAGGAGATACTGTTTGTAAGTCACTCAGCTTTCTGCGTTAGGCCATTCTTGCATTGCTGTAAAGAAATACCTGAGGCTGGGTAATTAATAAAGAAAAGAGGTTTAATTGGCTCACGGTTCTGCCAGCTGTACAGGAAGCACAGTGCTAGCATCTGTTTCTGGGAATACCTCAGGAAGCTTCCAATCATGGCAGAAGGCGAATGGGGAGCAGGTGTCTCACATGGCTGGAGCAGAAGAAGCAAGAGAGAAGGACGGGAGGTGTGACACACTTTTTTTTTTTTTTTTTTTGAGGCGGAGTTTCGCTCTTGTTGCCCAGGCTGGAGTGCAATGGCGCTATCTCAGCTCACTGCAACCTCCGCCTCCCAGGTTCAAGTGATTCTCCTGCCTCAGCCTCCCAAGTAGCTGGGATTACAGGCATGTGCCACCACGCCTGGCTGATTTTGTATTTTTAGTGGAAACGGGGTTTCTCCATGTTGGTCAGGCTGGTCTTGAATACCTGAACTCAGGTGATCCTACCATCTTGGCCTCCCAGAGTGCTGGGATTACAGGTGTGAGCCACCACGCCTGGCCAGGTGTGACACACTTTTAAACAACTGGATCTTGCCTGACCTCACTCATCACCAAGGGGATGGCACTAAGCCATTCATGGGGGATCCGCCCTCATGATGCAAACACCCCCCCCAGGCCCTACCTCCAACACTGGGGAGGTGTTGACATGAGATTCAGTAGGGACACGGATCCAAACCATATCACCAGCACAGCACTTGGCACAGAGCAGGTGCTGAAACAGCTTCACAGGGGCAAGTGGTGATGCATACTGTCAGCTTCAAGAAGGAAGAGCCTAACTCTGACTAACTTACTGACTGAGAAATGTGTAACAGGAGACCCAGGGTGGTGTAGCCTACATGGTCGGCTTCACCCATAAACTGCTAATTTTCTGACTCTTAGTTTTGCCGTCCTCTGACGGGAGGCGCTGTCTGTGTCTCAGAATTCCCAGCAGTCGTCCTAAGTTTCACTCATCCTGACTGGACCACCTTAGGTTACTCATCAGTCCTGTGGCCAGGGCACGGGAATGTACTAGTTGGCCTGACCTCAGTCACATCCTGCCACCTGTGGATCTGGAGCTGTAGTCCACTTCTCTAGAAGTACATGGATTCCCCACGGGAAGTGGGAGCTGTCTGAGAGGGAGAAAAGGAATGGATGCTAAAGAGGCCACCAACAGGAATTGACTCAAATGGAACCATCCAAATGCAGTCTAAGATTGTGTCTCTGAAAGTATAATATGTGTGAGAGAGGAGGCTTCCGACTCAGACTACATCTTAGACTTATATTTCATTCTGGAACGTAGATCAGTTGAGGCTGTTTTCAAAGAGTGCAAGCAGGATTTGGGGAACATTTGAAATTATGCCATGTGAGGAAGGGTGGTGCTAATATGAGAAGACTCAACAGCGTCATGATAACTAGAGGGTCACGGTTCTTCTGTGTGACCACACGAGTGAAAGTGGTACCAGTAGCCACTGTCACTCATTGAGTGCTTGTTGCACTGCCTGGCATTGTACTCAGCTTTCCCCCTGCATTGTCTAATCCTTTAATATTCCTTTGAGGGAGGGACAGATCTCCTAGATAGCTACTCCTACTGCCCTCCTTTGTTAGATGAGGAAACAGGAACGCGCAAGTTAAGTAATTCGTCCTAAGGCATAAAACTAGTGAGTGGAGAAACCAGGATTTAAACTCAGGTCTCCAGCTCAGGTTCCCTGACCTTACAACAACGATTCTCAACATGAGCTGCACATTAGAATCTCTTGGGGGAGCTTCTGTAAGACAACAGCGTCTGTAAGACACTGATGCCTAAGGCCCACCCTAGACCAGTAATCAGGGTCTCTGTGGTGTGGGGTGGGCTCAGGCAAAACGTGTAACAGTGGCTTAGGTATTGCCAGTGCACGGCCAGGGTTGAGGACCACTGGCCTAGAGTTGAGGGCCACAGCATGGCTGCCTTCCAGAGCCCAGTGGGAGCTGCAGATATATGAAGGATAAAAGGACTATTAGGAAGAGGAGAGCAAGACCAAATCAAGGACATTCAGATTTTTAAAAAATCAATGTAGGCTGGGTGCGGTGGCTCAAGCCTATAATCCCAGCACTTTGGGAGGCCGAGGCGGGCAGATCATGAGGTCAGGAGATCGAGACCATCCTGGCTAACATGGTGAAACCCTGTCTCTACTAAAAATACAAAACAATTAGCTGGGCATGGTGGCGGGCACCTGTAGTCCCAGCTACTCAGGAGGCTGAGGCAGCAGAATGGCGTGAACCTGGGAGGCAGAGGTTGCAGTGAGCCGAGATCGCGCCACTGTACTCCAGCCTGGGCGACAGAGCAAGACTCCATCTCAAAAAAAAAAAAAAAAAAATCAATGTAGTGCTCGGAGACAAGACCCCTAGAGGCCTCCCTTCTGCACATCCATGCTCCTCGGACCTCACACACATGGACCACCTGCAGGCTTGTAAAGAGCAGGTGTGGAGAAGGGTCTGAGAGATTCTGCATTTCCAGCAAGCTCCCTGGCCATGTTGGTGCTGCTGGCGTGGAAGCCATCCTTTGAGTAGCAAGGCTATATAGTGCCATACTGCCGAAGACTGAGCAGGCAGAGATTAAGTCAAGAGTCGGTGGTCAGTTCCCTGCGAAGGGAGGTCAGGAGGCATGCTTGTAAGCTGCCTGCTTGGGAGCAAGGCCATCTCCTAGGGATATTCTGAGGGGAACTGGGGCCTGCTCTCAGGAGTGTGGCTGGCCGCTGTCAGGAGGACTGAGCATCTCCAACACTAAGAAACGCTGAGTGCAGTGCCTCGTCCAGCCTTCCCTCTGCACTCCACCTGGAAGTGGAACTCTAGGATCAGCACAAAGAGCAGAAGCATCTGTTAATGCCTCCTTGGCCCAAATGCACAATGTCTGTAGATCTGATGCAGAGAACCACCCCCGCCTTCAGTCTGAGCAGCCGCACTGGATCCTCAGGGCATAACGTTGTCCCTTAACCCTGGAATTCCCTCCCAGCCTCGGATTTCCCAGCTTTTGGGTTGTCCTTGGATTTTTTCTACTCTTCTACTCTGTTACAGAGAATTGTAGCAATCCACACCATCAAGACCCTGTACAATCTTATTCAGGGGTCAGATCACTAGTAAGTAGCAGAATTAGAATTAAACTTCATGTCCCTTGATTTTTAAAAAAAATTCTGTTGTGCTATGCATTTTGTTTTCAAACTCTTTAGATAGTCATTTAGTCAAATATGTTTTTGCAAATGTAAAAACCAACTACCCAGCAGCACCAAGGCAGGGCTGGCTGCCTAGCCTTTGTGCAGATAGTGGTGCCACCCAACTGGACGGCCCTGCCTCCTCCCACACCCTGCCAGTGGAGTGATTACGGCAGTAGATTTCCTTGTCGATCCTGTTTACTCCCAGCACACTGTGGAATTCCCTCCTTGTCTGCCCTCACATGACTTCTATCCATCTAGGTTAAATGCTGTTCTGTACTTTGCAGCCATTTGAAGCTCTCTACCTTCCTTTCTGCTTTAACACCCTCTCCCTGGCCTCAGGTTGGCTCCAGGGGATCCCATCCTGGTCTGCAGGCCCTGGGTCTAGGTAGGATGAGATTTACCTTTCACGTACCATAGCATAATTTTAAAAATTGTTTTTTACACATCACTTTAAATGGGACTTTGATCTTTTGCCTTTAACTGTTGATCAGGCGTTTCTTCCATGAAGTTTTTCTTGAATAATCACATTTCTCTGAACACTTTTTCTGTTATCTTCTTATATACCAAAACACAAACCCTTCCCTCATACTGTCTCCTACAGGGACAGTGTTACAGAGCTGCCTTTCACCCCTGGTTAGCCCCTCCTCTTACAAATCACTGGGTACATTTGGTTAGCCCTGTAGTCTTCAAAAATTCCTGTGTGTGCCCTTTCCAGGAAACTATAGGCTAAAACCCCTTGTATGTGTCTCCTCTGGGGCTCCCCTGTCAAGGTCCACCATAGAGGTGGGTCATTCCCACCCAAACACTTGTCTTGGCCACTTGCAGTGAGAAATATTTCTGGGATGATGCTCAGCACTCCCCCAAAGACTGATGGCTGATGTTTAGTATTCAGTGTGAATCACATTGTTAAAAAGCCTGTGCGGCTATTGCTAATTAACACAGCTATACGCTTATCTGTTGCTTTACTCTTTGCAAAGTCTGTGTGTGTGTGTATGTATACATATATACACACAACTACATACATCGGCAGCATACACACACCCCAGTAGTGACTGAAATGATAGACTCAGCCACAGACCCAGAAGAGGCATGGTCTAGAACACTCAGCTGTAAGCCTTGGACTCCCCATCATGGCACTAACAGAGAGAGAATGACATAGAGCGATCTTTTCTCTGCCTTCTCACAAATGCCAATACTTCTGGGAAGGTCTCACCTAAAGCCACTCTCACTACCACTCTAATTAGCAGTTCACACTGTAGCAAGGTTTAGATGGCAGCCAGCCAGCTTCGTTAAGAAATAGGACATGGAATAGATGTCCTAGAATGAGGTGTCTAGAAGGGGAAGGGTGGGGTGCCCTGGTGGATGAGGGAAGGAACTTGAGCTAGGATGTGAGGTGATGAGGCATGGCTTTTAGGACTGCACCTGCTGCTTCCAGGAGGCTAGGCCAGGGGCGGGAGCAGTGGACTTGACTACCTTAGGCTAGAGGTGATGAGGGCAGAGCAGTCTGGAATGTGTCACATCCAGAACGAGCCAAGAAACAGCGCCTTCATTCATACTTCAAGCAGGCATCTGTCAGACCCATGGTTGGCCAAGCATTAAGCCATCAAGGTAAAGAACTGACTCTGAGCCCAAGCGGGTCCCAGTCTAAGCCAGGGAGACAGGCATGTCAACAGATGATTGCAGTGGGAAATACCACTGAAAAGTGTGTCTTGGTACAGCACACTGGGAAGGGAATGATTAGTTTTGCCTGGGAGAGGAATGACATTATTCAGCAGAGATGACCTTGTTGTTGGGTCTCAAAGCATGAACAGGAGTTTCTTGGGTAGATAGGGAAGAATTAGCAGAGGAAAGAACATCTAGAACATCATGGAGGCTTGGAAACAGCAAGGCATTGCAGGAGAAGTGCAGCGCCTACAGGGACAGTGCCAAGATTGTTTACTAGAGAGGGCCCGATCTCACAGGGGGTGTCTTGGATGTCAGGATGTCATGCTGCAGGAAAGGGGAACCATGCAAGTTCTCAGCTGAGAGCTGTAGAGAAGGGTTGTCCCTATAGCCACAGTCAGGGGATGGAGCAGCGGGGTGGCCAGGATGGGGGGTGTGTGAGGTGCGTCCTTGTGTTTGTCCACTCATAAGATAATAAAGACTGAATGAAAGCAGTGACAGTGAACAGAAAGGGAAGGAGTCAGGTGACAAGCAAGGAGACAGGGTTCTCTGAATTTGGTTGCAGCCTAAGATAGGGACCCATGGGATAGGAAGCAGTGGTGAATGACAGGTAGCCCTCCAGAAGCTGGATAGCTAGTGGTGTTCACTACTTCAAGAACTGCAGGAATCAGGGGCATCACGCGAGAACCAAGAGACGAGGGCATGTAACAGGAGAGTTCTGGAAGGAGAATGACTGGCAGAGGGAAAGAGGAAATATGAGTGGGATCAGATCATTGATGGAGCACAGTTCTGACCAGGGCCAAGCTTCCTGAGTAGATGCTGCACAGACACCATCAGATCTGAGTCTTAGACTCCAGCCCATCCTCAGCACCTCACTCCCACTCCAGCTGCTGTCTTGACTTCCCCACCCATTGTCTCCTCTATGTTTCAAACTTAGCAGGTCCAAGCCTGTGGTGTTGTCTCATTCTGAACTGCCACTAGTGGAGATGGTATTCCATGCTCCCTCAGGGAATGACCCACCCATCTCTCTGGGCCACTGCAGCATCCTCCAGGCCTCCAGGCCTCCAGGCTGATGGCCACTTCCACTCTTTCTTCCCAGTCGACACCATTACACGGCAGCCAGCAGTCCTTCCAGAATGGATATCAGATGGGGTCCTTTCCCTGATTAAGCCCAGTGGCTCCCTACCAACTCTGGAACGGGCTCTGCGGCTTGAGGCCCAACCCTGCTGGCCCTCCCTGCATCTGTGCCTCGTGCGGTCCAACACCTTCCGACAGCGCTCATCTTGCTGCTTTACGCCGGGTGTAGTCTCATCCCAGACCTCTCCCAGTCTTGACTTACTTTTCTCGTTCACATGATTCGGACTTCTGCCCAGTGTCAGCCGGGGGTCGGGGAGGGATGAGCCTTCCCTAGCCAGTCATTTACAACAATACCCCTACCTTGTTGTTCCTTTTCACTTTATTTAGCCTGCTGTGGTTTTGTATTTTTTCCCCCTCCATATCCAGAGCGTTAGCTCTGTGAAGGCAAGGACTTCACCTCTCTTGGTTCCTGCTGTGCTCAAGTCTGTTTGCGTTCATTATTCATTGGATCCTCAGCACCCCTGAAAGCTAGGTAGGAGTTTTTCTCCCTGGACCAATGAAGAAGCACGTTCAGGGAAGGGGGAGTCATCATCCATGTCACAGCAGACGCTGGAACAAAGAACCCAGATGACTGGTGGGCATCTCTTTTGAGGGTATAGGGACCATGGGTGTGGGCAGAGGCATGCCTGGCCCTAGTGGAAAGTGCTGGGGGTACATATGCCCAGCAGCAGCTGCTGTTGTCTCTCAGGTGGAAACACGGTCATCTGATGGTGGGAATTCAGGGGTAACAGGTAAAGGCTGAGATAGCTAAGAAGGGGAATGGGCAAAGACGCCAACCTAGGGTCTCAGGAATTACAAGTTGCATGGAAGGTTCAGTTGAGCTGACTTTGCATTGACTGTAGTCAGGGCAGATCTCTGAATCTCTTTAGGGTCTCTGCACACTTGTTTGGGGTAAGTGAAGAACAAGACAGGAAAGAGGGGTCTCCCTCTCCAGATGACAGCACAGTAGGGCATAGCCAACTAGCCTCATAAGTTTGCTAAGAACCAGATGTGCAGCCACTTAACGAAATTAAAATTCTCATTCATTCATTCATTGGTTGTGTAGCTGACTGCATGTCCTGAGCTTTAATTTTTTATATTGATTATTTGGACCTTTTTAAAAAGACTTGTGTTCATTTTTCACTTATTTGTGGTTTTTACTATTTTCACATCAGAAACTCTTTCTCCAAATCCTGAATATGTTAATTTTCTTCACTTTGCTTAAAATGTAGCATTCCTGTGAATTTTGAGAAGCTTTGGATAATTAGGCTGTTGAGTTCCAAATCTCCCCAGATGACCAGTGTTTGGCCATGTTGATAGCATCTTGGATAGGGCTTTCCTGTGTTCAATCTGTTCCTCTCAGATTTCTGGGATTTACTTGCATCATCAACCCTTGGCCCTTTTCCAACCTGCACTAATTTTGCTGGGAATCTCTCCCCTGCCCTGGGCAGCAGGATCCTGGGCTGCACATTTTTCTACGTGGAACCATGTGCTGGCATCTGCGTGGCCTTTGGTTTGTTATTTTTCTTCCCAAGGGACAGCTGGGTAGAATAGAAGGCTTGCCACTGTGTGGAAAGCCACCAGGCCTGTCCTCGGATCCTGTTGTTTTGCTTGAAGTTGTGACACCCAGAGTAGGACCCGTTGCCTTGCTGAACCTCAGTTTCTTCATCTGTCAAAGGGGCGGTAATTCTTACCTTGAAATACTGCTTTCAGCTTGCCGGGAATTGACCTGTTGGAAAATCTGCTTCAGTGCCTGGCCTGAGGAGGGCTGTTGAACCTTGTGAGTGGACATATCACTGTTTGATTGGAGTTTTGAATACATTGCTGGTGGGAGCAGAGCACAGTCAGTGACTGTTTGGCTCCTGCATTCTCTCAAAGCATTTGGAGAAATGTTCTCACTGCGTGGGAAAGGTTCCAGGTTCCTGATTCTCACTCCCTTCCACCTATCTTGGCCCCACCCTCAGACTCCTCTGTGCTTTGGTCGGATTCTGTGCTACCCCCAGCTGGCTTCCACATGAGCCTCTCAGCTCTCCTTAAGCAGGGCCTGGCACAGAGTGGGAATAGTGGGAATCAGCAAACTTTCTTGGTTGACTCTATAAATAACTAGGTCCTGATCATCTTTTCAGATATTCTTAAGTGGGATCATCTTGTCGGATTTTCTGTAGTGGTTCTGACCCCTATTTCCATTTACTCAACTTTACATTGAGGGCCTGCTCTCTGCCAGGCACTGTTACAGGCTCTGGGGATAGGTTAGTGAACAAAACAAGCTAAAGTCCCTATCTGTGTGGAGTTTACATCCCCAAGGAGACCTGACACTTCCGATACTCTCGGATCTCTCTTCCAAATACATAGTATACTTGGTTGGTTTTTATGCATTTGAGTAGGAGATTTTTAGTTATTAAAACAGGTATTGAATATTTACTCTGTGCCAGGCACTGTTCTAAGAATTTTATATGCATTGTCATTCGATTCCCACAAAACTGCAGAAAGGAGGTTCTGTCATTGTTGTCATTTTACAGATAAGAAGCTGAAGAAACAGACCCAGAGGTCTTGACCCTTGCCTGTGGTTACACACCCGGAAGAGGTGGGTCCTGACCCTGCACAGGCGGTCTGACCACGGCATGCACACGTTGCCACTGCCCTGTGCTGCCGCTCTGTTCTTGGAATGCTCCTGAGGCCTTGGTTCTTTCTTTGCTATTAGACATAAATCCTCAAGTGCCGTGACCCTCTTAGGCTCCTTCTCTCCCGTGGCGCCCAGCACAGCCTGTGCACACCGTAGGCCGTGAATGACTGCTGTTAACTTGGGAGGTGGTTAGGGGGTGTCTTTCAGGGCTCCAGTCCAAAAGTTGCTCTCCCCAATGTCCACAGATTAGGCTCTGTTTTCTTCACATCTGTGATTGCACATGCCTTAATGCACTGGTCCCACGCTGCTCTATAGTTATGGGGGTTCCCCTCAGACCTCTGGGCCCCATGTCCTCCTCCCACCCCGCACCTGTATTCTGGCTTTGGGGCAGGGGCTGCCGGGTGATCTCTTCTGCTCAGACACATTTTGTCATCTTCCCTTCCCCGGCCTCCTCACCATGCTTCCCTCACCCTCACCCTTGCTTTTGATCTCACAGATCCAGGCCCTTGGAGAAATCAGACAGTATGAAATATGAAAACTGCTCGGGAAGTAATTGAAGAAACACTGTGACTTTGGAAACCCATGGAGATAACACTCACACCTTCTTACTCACGTTATTTAATTTTTAATGGCAGATTTAATTAATGGAGGTCAGGCCTCCTGCTTTCAGATGTGCATGTGGGGCAGCTGGAGGAGGAGGAGGGGCAGCTGTCTACAGGGCAGAGGAAAAGACTGCAAATTTGGGAAACTAAAGAGTCCGATGGGAAAGAAAATCACCCAGAAATAATAGTCCCTGGTCATTGGGTGCTAATTAATGTGTGAGAATTCGGTAGAGCGCACTTCAGAGAAGTTTCCCAGTGTCTCTCAGTGGGCAGCAGGGCTCCTTTACAGGCACAGTCATGCTGCCTTCCCAGGCTCTGTGCTGCAGGGTTCCAGGAGCTCTCGAGAACTGACGGCCTAGCCGGGGAGAGCTGGATGCCATCATCCACACAGCTGCCAGAATGTTCTTTTAAAAACACAAATCAGCTGGGCACAGTAAGTCACGCCTATAATCCCAACACTTTGGGAGGCCAAGGCAGGCAGATCACTTGAGCCCAGGAGTTTGAAACCAGCCTGGCCAACATGGCGAAACCCCCTCTCTGTAAAAAATACAAAAATTAGCTGGGCAGGATGGCACACTCCTGTAGTCCCAGCTACTGGGGTGGCTCTGAGGTGGAGAGATAGCTTGAGCCCAGAGGTCGAGGTTACAGCGGGCTATGATCACACCACTGCATTCCAGCCAGGAGCAAGGCCCTGCCTCAGGAAAAAAAAAAAAACAAAAAAAACAAATCTTCCCTGCCCCTCCTTCACTGAAAAAGGAAAGCCTTCTTCACCCTTATTGCCCATGAGGTGCAGTCCAAGCTTTTGAGCCTGCAGCTGGCATCCTCCACGTCCCCTCCTGGCCGTTGCCCTGTGCCTCTGCAGCAACAGTGGCATCTCCTGCCCCATGCACAGCCCTGTGGCAGCCCCAGGCTCCTCGCACTGCTGCCTGTGTTCAGGAGACCTCCCTCTCATTTGGCTCATTTCTGCTCATCCTTTAAAATTCATTAAAATGGATACACCCTTTGACCCAAGAATTTGACTTATACAGTGTTCCCTACAGATACACACAAAGTTCTAGATGCCAAGATGTTCCTCTTAGCTTTGTTTATAATAGTAGAAGACTAGAAACAACCTCTGTACAAGGATGGGGAGCTGCTTGAGTGATACTCAAGGGATGACACTACAGGGTATTCATTCCTACTACTAAGTGCTGGTCAGCTGGAGTGGGTGAGGTCTCTGAGGATCAATGGAAAGATGAGGTGTGGCAGATCGTGTCTGCTGCAGTCAAGTGAGTGTCAGGAACAAGTGGGGCACATGTGTGTGCTCACTCACACATGTGCCCATGCATGCACAGCACCTCGCCCTGACAAGGACGGGGTGCACAGAGGAGTAGGGATAGGGCTGAGTCCAGGCTGGCCAAGAGGCTCAGTATTCACCACACACCCTCCATGCTTTCCATTTTTGTTTTTTAAAACCATATGTAAGTATTTTTCAAAAACATTGTTTAGTGTAAATAAAAAAAACTCAGCCTCAGTTCAGGTATTGGCTCCCAGGAAGTCAGTCTGACCCATGGTTTCTGCCAGGCTGTCCTTTCAGGTGCCCCACAGCACCTGGGAGGACTGGCTGAGTACCCCATTGTAATTATGATGCCACCATCTCAGAGCTCCACGAGGCCAGGGAGCAAGCCACACTTGTCTCAGAACCTTCTGGCACTTGGCGGGTTCTCAGTGTGCACGTTGGTAGTGTCTAGTCCTTCTAGAAGCCCTGACCTGGTGATTGGTTGAGGAGTCCACAGAGTGCCCTGCCCTTCCCAGGAGATGGAGTCTGGGTCCACTCCAGCAGCCTTGGAAAGGCCTGGTGGATGAGCAGCTTTGTGAACACAGGAAGCCAGCTTGGTATTCCCAAGTTGTGGGCCGGAGACCTTCGAGTGCCAAGGGAGCTGCGGTTGTGAGGACATCCGTCCCTGTAGGTCTGCTTAGGCAGATTAGATGAGTGGGGTAGGCGGGTCAGGACAGGACAGGACGGGGAATTTCTCTGAGTCATTCTGAGAAACAATAGAGGAAGCTGCAGCAGGGTAATCACCGCCACTTCTTGGCCTGTGGGTACTTCCTGTGACAAATCGAGTTGACCACATGTTCAAACTGAGCTTGCAATCAAACCCAAGCACTATCCAAATTCACCGGGGCCAGGCTGTTTCTGGCAGTATGGCATCTTGAGCACAGGCTCTGAGTGTCTACTGAAGCCCACAGCAGGCCGGGCCCATCTGGGCCAAGGATTCGCTCTCTGAGAAGGTTGGCAACAGGTGCCTGGGCCTGCAGGATGGTGACCTGACACTCAGGAGCCCTGTGGGCACAACCACAGGAAGAGGGGTTTGGCTCAAAGAGAAGGTCTGAGCCATGAGGTTGTTTTGTGGGAAAGGAAGTAGGCCAGGATGAATTGTGGGGGGCGGGGCTTAGGATGAGGTGCATTTTAGCTCTGGAAAATTCAGTGGCTGTGGTGGGCTGAGGTGGGTGCTGTGTGCCAAGATGTCTCTCCACCAACTGCAGGCTGGGTGATACCCTGTGTTGCTGTTGAGAGAAGTGACTTACCCAAAGAACACCGCCAGCATATGCCAAAGCGCAAATCAAAATGTGGGTCTGTGGTCCATGCCATCTCCTGATGAGGTCTCATGAAGGGGAACTTCAGACAGCTAAGCAGTTCCCACCCAGGCTGTGGCGGAAGGGCGTCTGCATGGAGTGGGAGGGAGGCCCAAAGTTGTTATGTCTCTGTCCCTACCGCCTCGCCCAGGACAGGCAGTGCTGGTGGATACTGGACTGGTCGAGGCAAAGACGTAATCTCTCGTTTGAATGTGAGGGCTCTAGAGAGAACACTGGAGCCCCCTTGCTGGGCATTTTGGCAGCAGCTGGCTGTGGTGGGAGGAGAACCTGTATTTATTTCGTGCCTGTCGTATGCCGGGAGGGTTGGCATTTCCCAGCTGTCATTCCCAGTAGCTGTAGAGGGAGGCATCCATTATCTCCTTGGCTCAGAAGTGAGGAGCAGCGAGGTGACTTGCCTAAGCTCACCAGGCAGTGGAGGGTGAAAGGCCCAGAGGTGGCCCCCAGGCCTCCCTGACTCCCCCGGCCCAGCCCAGGGCAGAATGCCAGCACCTGGTGGTTCTTCCTCATCACATGAGCCAGGTGCTCTTCCCCAGGGGCTCACCTTCCACATTTACCTCCCAGTCAGCACTTCTCTGAGGCCACGATGCAGCAGGGGAGTCCTTGGGGTAAGACTAGAGGGGGGCCTGGTTTCCATCTGGACCTGCCTTCCATGCCCTATGGCCTTAGAGGTGGGGGGTCCATCCCTGCCTCAGTTACCTTCCCTGCAGAAGGCCGAGGGGGGTCCGTGGTGCACAGGAAGTGCTTTCCCTGGGTGGCTCTGTGCACCTCTCACTTCGTGTCTGCCCAGCTTCAGCCAGGCTAGCTGTGTGCCTGGTGGGCGGAGAGAGCCAAGTTGAAGTCCTACAAATGTGCAAGGCAACGCAGCTCTAAAGTTCCTTCACTGCCACACAAGCGTGTTTCAGGGACTGACTGATCTGTGCCTGCAGTAGGTACCTGAGACCTGAAGCTCCCATTTGCTCATCTGTAGAACGGGGATAATCATGCTGCCCGTATGAGCCTTTTTTTTTTTTTTTTTTTTTTTTTTTTTTTTTTTTTGGGAGACGGAGTTTCACTTTTGTCGCCCAGGCTGAAGTACAGTGGCACAATCTCGGCTTACTGTAACCTCCACCTCCTGGGTTCAAGCGATTCTCATGCCTCAGCCTCCCAAGTAGCTGGGATTACAGGCACCCGCCACCACACCCAGCTAATTTTTTTTTTGTATTTTTAGTAGAGATGGGGTTTTGCCATTTGGGCCAGGCTGATCTTGAACTCCTGACCTCAGGTGATCCACACACCTCAGCCTCCCAAAGTGCCCATGTGAGGCTTTGAGGAGTAGATGTGGTTGTGTCTGCAAAGGGACTGACCTTAAGCCAACTCCAGGTGACATCTGCTGTACCTTCCTCACCCGCACTGGGGAGGTCTGACCACGGGCCCTGCCCCACCTCAGGTTGTTTCATTTCTGAAACTGCTTCCTCATGAGTCAGCCCAAGGCTGGCCTTCTCCCTGCTGCCTACATGTCCACATGTGGGCTTCACCACACTCCCACCTGGAGCACGGCAGGAGGCTGCTAGCAGATGCGTTAATGTCAGTCTCCCCTCAGAACATGCGAAGGTGCTGGAGCTTCACAAAGAAAGGAGGATGTGGACCTGGGCCTTTGTGGCCTGGAGCAGCTTGCCTCTGAGGCACAGCAAAGTTCCATAACCTACCCAGAGCCACACGGTGGTGGCATCAGGGCTTAGACCCAGCTGTGTTTTGCTCCCAGGCCTGGGCCTTCCCTCCACAAACCTGGGTCTGTAGGTGCACATGTACCGGGTGATCTCAGGACAAATTAAGTGTGTGCCTGTGGATGCTCCCCTTAACAATCTGGACAGATGGTTGCTGTTCCGATGAGTAGGGTGGTCAGGGTAGGCAGCAGAGTGTTTCCCAGACTGGGAATCTAGACAACTGAGTTGTAGTCCTTACACTGCCCCGTTGCTCTGTGACTTTGGAGAAGTCATTTCACCTCTCCGGGAAGGAAAGTCCACCTATAAAATAGGGGTTGGACCAGATCAAGACTGAGAAATTTTTTTCTTTAAAGATAGTAAGTATTTTAAGCTTTGTAGGTCATGTAGTCTCTATCATAGCTCCTCAACTCTGCCATTGTAGCACAGAAGCAGCCACAGACAATATGTGAACTAATGAGCGTGGCTGTGTGCCAGTAAAACCCTTATTCACAAAAACAGGTGGCAGGCTGGATTTTGCCCGTGGATCGTGGTCTGCCAACCCCTGAGCTAGAGGATCTCATAACGCACTTGCAGCCATTGCTATTCTAGGATTCTGTAGCAGCAGCCATGCGTGGTGGAGCTGGAACCCAAGGTGTGGATTAATTACCAGTCGGCTTTGATGCCCGTCAAGAAATTAGCATCTGTCAATTTCTAATGTGGTTGCATCCCATTAGAGAGCAGAGGGAAATTTCAGTCTTTGGTAACCAATTCTGTTTTTCTCCTTGTAGAATGCTGAGATGTATAAACTGTCTTCAGAGCAATTCCATGAGGCAGCCTCAAAGATGGAGAGCACAATAAAGTAAGAATTTGTTTATTATTCTTTGTAAACTTGGCCCACAATTGTAAAAATTCCCACATGTGGCTTGAAACCTGCCACCACCTGCCTAATTTCAAGTTTCCCTAATAATACACACAACCATCTGTTCCTCAGCTCTCTCACCTGGATCTGAGGTAGCCATTGGTCATCTGTAATTGGCCAAATTAGCACTCAGTTCTTATCTAGCTCCTTGGCAAATTGGAGTGGTGCTAGGGTAGACTTGCAGAGTTATTTTCGGGGCCCAGTGTCTGCTGAGCAGGGGCTCCTTTCCTTGTGTGGCTAGCTGAGGAGCTGGCCGTCAGGCCCCAGAAGGAGTTGAGGCAGGGGTTCTGCTGGCTTCTCTCCCCTCTGACTGTGGAGGGGTTTTTAGGGGAAGGTGTCCCCTCTCAGTGCTTCCTGTGCCTGGTACATGCAGTGCACCCTGTGCGCAGTCATGCTCGGGGTGGCCCACACTTCATGCCCAGAGGAACTGAGGCTCAGAGAGCTGCTGGCTTGCTCAGATCATACAGTCCTAAGTGCCAGCATTCTGTCCCCTGTCTGTGGTGCTCCTATGCTGTCCATTGAGGACTCAGCTGGAACGTCACAGGAGCAGGGAGGTGCTCACAGTGTGCCCAGTACCAGTGTGGCTCTGCTCAGTCAATAGTACAGTTCCCTGGAAGGTCAGAAAGTGATTCTTGTGGGAAGGAATTGGGTCTTATGGGTTCTCTGTGTGAAGTTGGTCTCTATGGACCTGAGAGACCTTCATAAATTAGCCAAGGGGCTACCACCAACTCCATCCACTTCCTGGGAAAGCTGCTCCCTCCCAAGAGTGAATTGGGACAATTCACCTGGCAGCCCTCAGGGCACAGAATTGTGAGCAGTGGGTCTGGCCTCATGAGAAAGAAGTGTCAGAGACAGGTTTGCATGATAGTTGTAAAAACAGCTGTGCAGAGAACTGTGAGGAGCTGGAAGGACAGTAGGGACAGACAAACAGTCAGCATAGACCCAAAGGCACAGAATAGGACAGGGAACAATGTAGGCTGGTTTTGGGGTCTCTTTTTGAGGCAGGGTCTCACTGTGTGGGCCCAGCTGGAGTGTAGTGGCAGAATCATGGCTCAATGCAGCCTTGACCTCCTGGGCTTAGGTGATCCTCCTACCTCAGACTCCCGAGTAACTGAGACCACAGGCATGTGCCACGCCCAGCTAATTTTTGTATTTTTTGTAGAGATGGGGTTCACCATGTTGCTCAGGCTTAGTGTAGGGGTTTTATTCTTGAACACTAAACACCTAAAGCTGATGGGGATACTACATATTGTGGCAGAGCCATTTAAGAATGGGTTTGGGAAAGAGAAAATAATTATCTTGAAATTTTGCTGGACGTGGTGGCTCACACCTGTAATCCCAGCACTTTGGGAGGCCGAGGTGGGCAGATCACCTGAGGTCAAGAGTTCAAGATCAGCCTGGCCAACATGGTGAAACCCCATCTCTACTAAAAATACGAAAATTAGCCGGATGTGGTGGCACATGCCTGTAATCCCAGCTACTCAGGAGGCTGAGGTGGAAGAATCACTTGAACCTGGGAGGCGGAGGTTGCAGTGAGCTGAGATCGTGCCACTGCACTCCAGCCTGGGCAACAGAGTGAGAATCCATCTTAAAAAAAAAAAAAAAAAGAAGGCCAATTATCCTGAAATTTCAAGTCCTACAGCAATACTAGGAGCCTGAGAGGAGGAGAATCTTCCAAAAGGCAGATAGAGACAAGGACAGGTGTTGAGGTAGAAGCCCAGCCCTGCTGATGCTAGGACCCCACAGGGCCTGAGTGAGTAAGCACCAAGGCTGCCTGCATCCAGGAGTTGAAGGGTGCTGCACTGCCCTGCAGGGTATGAGCCACCCCACACACAGACACCCTGCCCCCACTGGTGGTCAGCTCTCGACCTGTTTCTGAAGGGTTCCCCCCGGTATGTCCTGTTCATCTGGGGCTGAGAAATACTTGGAATCACAGAACATTGAGAAGGAGAGCTGTGGTGGCAGCCACATCAAAGAGGCTGCTGAGTGACAGCTACAGCATGGATGTGATCCCCGGAGGTGGGCCAGGCCACAGCTCCTGCCCATTCTCTTACCCGAGCAGCTTCTTCCAAGGCCAATGGCCCCTCCCTTTCTACCTGGAGCCAGGACCCACCTGCCAAGGAGAAGATGCACTGGGGGAGAAGCCAGACAGCTTTCTGTTGGTAACCATAATGCCTGTCACCTGCCAAGTGGCCCACCATCATGAGGGCAGGGACTCCTGCCCCACCAGCCCCTTTGTGAATTTGGCTTTATTGTCATAGCCTTTCTCATCCTCATATCCCCTGAAAGCAAGGTGGGATGGATGTGAATGTATTTTTAATCTGAGTGAAGCCTAAGGTTTTTTTGTTTGTTTACAGCATCCCTTGATAATAATTAGCACTATTTACTAAGCAATAAGTACTCTGCAAGGCGTTTCAACTCCATTCTATATTTACTCTTGTTGGTTTCATATACAAGTGAAGAACTGAGGCTGGAGAGGTCGAATAACTCCTTTTGTCCGTGGTCACAGCTGGTTCTGTGGCAGGGCTGGGGTTGCTCTTCCTTTGTTTGTCTTTGCATCATTGCTGTCCCTTGCAGGCCCTGCCTGGACGTAAGATGGCAGCAGGGTGGAGCTCTCAGAGCCTGCCCGGGTTTTGGACTCAGACCAGGCCTCAGACCTCAGCCCTGCCCCTTAGCAAGTCACTTCACTTCTACAGGCCTCCGTTTCCTCACCTACAAAACAAACAGGACACACTCTTTAATCTTTAAGTGATAATTAAGCAAGATTCCACATAGAAAGTAGACCTAGGATGTCAACAACTGTTGTTGATATTAGTGTGACTGTTTGCTATGGACTAAATGGTTTGTCTCTCCAGAACACATATGTTGAAATCTCACTCCCAATGTGACGATATTAGGAGGTGGGGCCTTTGCAAGGTGATTAGATCATGGGAGTGGAGGCCTCATGGGTGGGATTTGTGCCCTTATGAAAGGGACTCCAGAGAGCTCCCTTTCCTTTTCTACCATGTTGAGGACACAGAGAGAAGACACCATCTATGAATCAGAAAGTGGGCCCTCACCAGACATCAGATCTGCCAGTGCCTTGATCTTAGACTTCTCAGCCTCCAGAACTGTGAGGAATAAACGTCTATTGTTTATAAGCTGCCCAGTCTCTATAGTACTCTATTATAGCAGCCTGAATGGGCTAAGATACTGTTAATAACGGCAGTCATTTTAGTCACTTTTTTACAGCACCTAGCTTGGTATAGAGTAGAACAGATTTGATATATAAATTGAGCTTATAAAAACACTTTTCCTTTTCCCAAATACAGTAAACACGAAGCAGTGTACAGTTAGAAATTACTTAAACATCTAGAGAAATCTTTGAGATATTTCTTGGATTAACAGATATTGTAAATTACATCATAAATGTCATAGAAATAAATGCCAACTGCTGATAGCAGTAATATTGAGGAGTTTTCTTCTAAGACCATGGAGTATCTTTTAACAACTTTGAGTAAACTGCTTAGATGGTAAACTAGATGTCCATGTATTCATTCATTCATTGAATACACATGTATAGAGTGCCTGCTGTTTGCCAGACACCATGCTAGGCCCTGGGGACACAGTGATGAACAAGACAGCTGCAGTCCCTGCCAGCAAGGAGCTTATAACATTTGGGGAATGACAAACAATGTTTTAAAATTAATTGCACAACAAGCAGTTACTCAATTAACTGATTATAGCAATGAGTGCCATGAAAGAAAGAGTCTGAATTAGAAAGACTATGTCACATGGTGGGAAAAAGCATTTTAAACAGCTGGATTAGTATGTGCAAAGGCCCTGAGACAAGAAGCAATTTAACTTATTGAAGGAATTGAAAAAAGGCCAGTATGGCTAGAGAGTAATGAATGAGAAGAGAGAAAAAGAGGAAGCTCCAAGAAGTGAGCATGAGCCAGACCATGCAGAACTTTGTGACATAGTAGGAATTTTAACTTGATCCTAAGGGCAGTGAAATTACCTTTTTCAAAGCTTTATTTATCTTCTAATGTATGCATTTAAGGCTATAATTTCTGTATAAACACAGCTTTAGCTACAAGTTTTGATATACTGTATTTTTAGTATAAATGAGTTAAAATTTTTCCAGTTTTCATTCTGATTTCTTCTTTACTCATAGGTTATTTCAAAGTATGTTGTTTAATTTCCAAATGTTTAGGGGTTTTCTAGTTACATTTTTTATAATTGGTTTCTGTTTAATTCTTCTGTGATTAGAGAACATACTCTAAATTCTTTGAAAATTATTGAAACTTGATTTATGGTCCAGTATATGATGTGCTTTGGTAAACTGTCCATGTGCATTTAAAGAGATTGTGTATTCTGTCAGTAAGATGTAGTGTTCTGTATTGTCAATTAGGTTAAGTTGGTTAGTCATGTTCAAATTTTCTGTATTTTTAATGATTTACAGATTTATTGTTTTTTTCTGACACTTTCCTTCTAATTTTTTTTCTACTATTTCTTTTCTTTTTTCTTTTTTTTTTTTTTTTGAGACAAGGTCTCACTGTCACCCAGGCTGCAGTACAGTAACATGATCACAGCTTACTGCAGCCTCAACCGCCTGGGCTCAAGAGATTCTCCCACCTCAGCCTCTTGAGTAGCTAGAACCACAGGTGTGCACCACCACATTCGGCTAACTTTTTAAATTTTTAGTAGAGAAAGGGTTTCACTATGTTGTCCAGGCTGGTCTTGAACTCCTGGCTTATGCAATCCTCCTGCCTCAGACTCTGAAATTGCTGGGATTATAGGCAGGAGCCACTGCATCTGGCTGGCCTTCATTTTTTTTTTTTTTTTTTTAGTGTATCTTTTCTGATAAAAGTTTTATTTTTAATTGTATGTAAATACCTTTTTCACCTTCATTTTGAAAAATATAGCAGTCATTTCTTTCAGCTCTTTGAAGATATCTTTACATTCTTGATTTTTTTTTTCCTTGAGAAGCCACCTGTTGATATTGCTGTCATTCCTTTACTTCTTTTTTCTCTGTTTTTAAGATTTTCTGTCTTTGGTTTTATTAAGCCATACCTAGTTATTGATTTTCTTTATTTTATTCTTTTTGGATTCAGGTCTTGAAGGTTGACATGTTTTTCTCAGTTTTGGAAATCTCTTACCATTATCTCTTCAAATAACACTCTCCCCTATTTTATCTTTCCTCTTTTCTAAGGTTATATGTATTACTGTCTCATATGTCTCTTGTTCTTTTTTCTGGTTTTCCTCATTTAAAAAAAATTTCCATGCTATAGTTGGAGTTCTCCTTATTAGTCTTTTAGTTCATTGATCCTCTTTATTGTGTCAAGTGTGCCTTAAATCTATTGCATTCAGAATTTCAGTTACTAAATGTTTTTAATTCTAAAAGTTCTATTTGCTTTGCTTTTTTTTTTTTTTTAAGATTCCCAGTCTTTGGTGAAATTCTACCTTTTGCTCTCTATTTTCTTGAACATATTAGTTACAGTTATTTTAAAATCATCTGAGGGTCTACTTCTGTTGCCTTTTTTTTTCTTGGGTCCTATTTATTTATATGTCTGATAATTCTTGATTGAGTGCCAGAAATTGTCTGGAAAGATGACAGAGGTCCTCTGTGATATGACCTTCCCCAGAGATGCCTAGGGATGTGGCTTTCCAGGGTCCCTCTTTCTTGGTGAGCTCTAAACCACATTTTTGTTTTCTCGGCTCTGCGAGACTTCTGAAAATTCCACTCTTTCAGTGGCCTCTTTTAGTTAGCTTCTTAGCTTCTTGCCTGAGTAGCTCAAGAATTTGACAAATGTTTTAAAAGAAGAAAACCACTGAGTATTGTCTCACTGCTTTGTAGCTCCCTTCTCTCTGGAATCCTGGCTCCCTAAGTCCTAGCTGCCCAGGCAGCCTCCACAGGAGCGTTGCCTCCCTATCATCCTGTGAGACTGCCGAGAATCTCCACAGCTTTTCTTGCCTTTCAGCTGAAGCTATTTGCCTGACATTCACCCTGTCTTCCTGATCCAAGAATTGGCAGAAACTTTGAGGGGGAAAGTGGGTCTAATAACAAATACTCACCTCTCCACGGTTCCCTTCCCTTCATAATCTTGGACCTCAAGTCCTAGTTGCGTTGGTCCTTAGATGCCTTCCCACAGATTTTTTTGTATTCCAACTTAATTTTTTTTTCCCTCGGGGAAGAGCATAGGCCTTTCACAAGCTGCTCCATTGTAGCTGGAACTAGAGGTCCTAACTTAGTTTTTGAGGAATGACTAGAGTTTGCCAAGCAGTAAAGGGCCACCCCAGGTAAAGGAAACAGTAAAATCCTAAAGCCAGACCCTGTTCGTTTTAGCAACATGGGGCATTGAAGGCACGGGTGACTCTCCCAACTTGTGTTAGGACACCAACCTGTACTGAGGCCTGGATCAAGCCCAGCATATGTCAAGATCTCAGAAGACTCCTGCCTCAGGGCCAACAGGGAGCTCTCCACCAAAGAGGAGTGTTGATGGCAAGGCTGACAGTCACAGACTAGGGCCTCTTGTTTTGGAAGAATCCTGTTGTTAAGACAGAAGTGAATATTCAAAATGTGTATGTACACCCCCGCCCACCCACCTCACAGCAGCACAGAAGGCAGAATTGTTCAGATTTTCTGAAGAAGAGATGAAGACCCCAGGGAACCTCCTGCATTTATTGTGTCACATCTATTTTTTATGACAACCTTCAGTCTGCTTCCCGTGGGATTCATTCAGAATCTGTCTTGGCTTCTCCTTGTCAGGAAACTTGTACAGTCCTCCCTGGTCCCACAGAGAGCCAGCCCTCAAAGAGGTTAGAACAATTGAGTTGAAGGAAGAAGGTTATTAACTATTTCCTGAAACTGAGCCATTGTGCTCCAAGGACTTTGATCCAGAGAGGCCTGATTAATGTGGATGTGGCAGCCTTGGGACTCGCTAGAGCAGAGCTGCTGTAGTGCTTTCACCTGCACTTGGAAGACAGGACTTAGTAAACTCTGGGACAGTCTTTAGGACCCACCTGAGAGAATGAATTGTTTCTAGGAACCTGAGCTTCCCCAGTTTGTATTTATTTAGTGAGCTAATGACAGATGACCTATTAAAACAGTGGTCATTTATTTAAACCCCAAAGAAAATGGCATTCTAAACATTCTTTAATCCAGATAACATTCGTCTTAGCCTGAATTCAAAAATGTTACTACATCTCACTTCCCTAGGTAGATAACCTTTGATGACCTTTTAAAGGAAACGTTTTCTATGCAGAAATTTACTGACATGTGTGGCTTAATCTGATGGACCTGGCTCTTTGAGAAGTTAACAAATCAAAACCAGTTTGATACATTCATTTAACTAATCAAAATTTAGTTAATTTCTTATTTGAAAAACTTTTACTAAACATCATCACGTGCCAGCGACTGTGCTTGGCACATGTACTGTACCCTGTTTCCCATCTTCACAGGAAGCTCAGCTGGCAGATGCCATTATTATTACCATTCTGCAGATGTGGAAATGAAGGCAAGTTCATTGACCTCTCAGACTCAGTTTCCCGGTCTGTAAAACAGGGACGATGGTGGTGCCTACTTCTGTCAGCTTCTTATGAAAACCAGATAAATGTGATAATCCACATTTGCTTACAGACACACCCCAGGGAGAGGCAGGTGGGATTTGAACCCAGGTGTGGATGAGTCTTACCTTGCTCTTTTCTGCTGTACTGAGATACGTATCTCTCAGAATGTACAGGATGGGGGCATTCAGCTGCTTGCTGCTTACCTGACTGCCTGGCTGTCCCAGTGCTGGCTGTGCCCTTCCCTGAATTTCAGCCCACCACGTGTGTGTGTGTGTGTGTGTGTGTGTGTGTGTACACATGCTTGTTTCCTAAGCTGTGGCATCTTATGCAGGCATTGACTCCCGTGTGTATGTGTATGTGTGTGTGTGTGTGTACACGTGCTTGTTTCCTAAGCTGTGGCATCTTATGCAGGCATTTACTCCCATGCCAGTGCTTACAGAGTTCTGTCACCTTTGTAACAAGGGAAACAAAGATGCATGGAGAGAGAGTTGACCAACAGAGGTTAGTGTTTGTGTAGCATATGGGAATGGAAAGTCAAAACAAAAGACGCCGGGTGGCAGTTTTCTCTCAAGACCACACCTTGGCTGGTTCTGTGGGTGGTGGGGTGAGCCGCCATTACTGGTGGCATTGTGGGTGTGATAAAGAGGCTGCTTCTGTCTTGTCCCCAGGGCAGATGTCACACAGGGACCCCAGTGGTCTGCTGAACCTGGATGGGGCCTTGAGATCCTTCTTGCCACTGCGCTGTAGCAGCTCATCTCAGCCATGTGGGGTTGGCATCCAAGGTGAAACCCATTTGACATCCCTGGGCCAGATGATTTCTGAAGATAGAGTTTTCAATTCTGAATCTCTGTTCTCAGTCCCTGATTTCAGAACACAGAATCTGTTAAGCTGTTTGTCTTTTTATGTCCTACTTTCTGTCTAGAATGACCTCCCTCTTTTTTTCTTACAAATTGCTCTGTTTAAAATTTAACTTAAGCATCTTTTCTGCTTACTGTTTGTCTTACCCAGAGGTCAACCTAATATCTTATATATCTCCGTATCCCCACCATCCAAGCCAGGACTTAGCCTTGAGAGATGCTCACCAAGTCAGTGTCAGATGGGTGGATGAACTGACACCCATTGTGGGATTTAAAAATAAGTGGTTGACTGTTTAAGCACCTACTCATGCAGCAGGGCTCTGTCTGGATCAAGGCCCTGAACGGTACAGGGCCTTACCTCATTTGAGGCAGGGCCTTGCACAAGGCAGGAGCCCCACACAGGGCAGGGACTTTGTGGTAACCGAGGGTACAGATCTTAGCAGTGCTACCTGACGTGTGGCCTGGGTCGGATGACATAAATGCTGAGACACACTTCCCTTACTTCTAAAGGTTGTTTTGAGGGCATCATGAGGTAATTTGTTAAGCCTCTAGGAAAGTGTCAGGCACGTAGTAAGCACTCGATGCATGGTAGGTGTTGTTACATAGAAACTCACATTTTAGTGAGAGATTGGAGTGTAATAGCCAAAAGAGAGCACATTCCTAGGTGCATAGAGTGTATCAGTGACTGAACCTGGAGCCAAGAAGGAAAGGGACACATAGGAGCCCACAGCTCTCCTTTTGGGGATGTATCCCAGAGAGATGCTCACCTGTGTGCATCAGCAGCCATGGGCACAAAGGGCACTGCAGCCCTGATTCTGAGTGTGGAAATCGGAGGCAGCCTCATACCTAGTGACAGGCAATGCGTAACACAATTCCCCCAACCCTGGAGCTCCAGACGACAGCTACGGTGTGCGCCGTGCATGCTGGCCTGCAAAGGTGCCAGAGACCTCTGGTTGGGGAAAAAGCGATTTGTAGTTTACAGTGCATGTGTACAGTTGACACACATATGGTAGGACCATCTCTGTTCTGTAGACATATTTATGTGATATAGAGAAAATGTCTGAAAAAGGTATGTTCCTGACGGGAGATAATAGTTATCTCTGGTTAGTTCGGAGAAGTTCAGGATTATAAAAAGGGTCAACAGGGACTATAGCTTTATCTGAAATGTTTATTTAAATATATATATTCACACACACACTCTCACGTATAGCTTGTATAATTAAAAATTAACAAGACTACAAACACAACCACAAGGAAAGGAACAATAATGACTTGGGCCAGGGGTGAGGGAGGTTCCCAGTGCAATTGGGCATCAGATCCCTAAGCTAAGGGTGACCCCATGAGACAGGCACTGTCCCCAGAGCTGGGTTCCTGGTTGTGTGAGTGGGAGAGACTGGGAGTGTGCTGTTTGCCAGTCAGGGCTTGGCTTCTGACCCTCTGAGGTGTATGAGGCAATCTCCTTTCCTCGTGAACTTGAGCTGTGGTTTTGAAATGTCCTTTAACTGGGGACCTGGTGCTCAGTTTGCGGACATGTGAACACCTGAGGCACAGATGAGCTGTGATTCTGGGTGAAGCCAGAATGGGTGGGCCTGGAGGACCTCTCCTCCATGGACATGCTGAGGCTCTTGGGTCAGAAACCCAGCAGCCAGGAGCTGAGGTCGCAGGAAAGGTGGGTGCCTTTCCTTCCAGGCCTCCATCACCTGCCTTTCATTCAGGCCTGGCTCACTCACTTGCTCAGGAGCTGCTGGCCAGGTTTTTGCGTCTGTCATTTCATGTGTTAGTGGGGAGTAATGAGAGATGAAGCTTGCAGCAGTCAGTATAGCTTTTGTGCTGTCAGGTGCATCCAAATGCTCCATCAGGAATGATGTTGAACCTTTACTGGAGTAAATGAAACTTAGGAATTAGGCAGTGGTTTTCTGCTCCTCATTCTGTCCTGTCACCACGAATAATCAAGTGCTGGGTGCCTGGCACTCCATTTGGGGCTGTGCTGTGCAGGCAGGCAGTAGACAGATTGGAGAGGCTCCAGAAGGAGAGACCAGAATGGTTAAAGGGTTGAAAAGGTAAACACACGGTTTGGGCCCCCAGGAAAGGAGAAGGCTGACCAGAGGGTGGAATTTTATTCCTCTGAGAAGGAAACATTGTCTGAATAGTATCAGGGCTACAGCCTTGGACTGCAGCTGTGAAAACTTAAGTTAGATCTAGCAAAGAACTTCCTGATTTGCAATGAGGCATTATAATGTGATAACCAAGGGAAGTTGTACAGCGCTCATCTTCCTGTGTAAATGTTTAAGAAAAGCAGCCATGTCACTCTGCACTAGGAATGTAGTATACAGCCAGCCCTCTTCCTCATCTGACCATGAGCCGCAGAAGGGCTACTTCCTCTGCCACAGCATCAGTGTTCTGTCTCTGTCTCCCTTGGCTGGCAGGCAGGCAGCCAGCCACCATGCTTCTCCTAGGAAGTATCATAGTGGTTTTCTCTTGGACGCTGCTTAGAGCAGGGAGGCCTTCCGCCTTTTAATGGCTTACTCTCATAACCCCTGCTCCAGCACCGGGGGCCACCATCCACAGAAGAGAGCCACGGAGGGCCTGGAGTGTATTTGCTGCATAACCTTCTTCCCCCTTATTTTTTTAAATCATCATTTCTCCTTAAAGACAGGATTAAATGATGGTGATCTAGAACTTAACCTCTGATTCAGTCCAGTCAGCCTTTCCTGAGGCTGGCTTGGTGGCGGGCTCTGTGCCAGAGAGGATATATAACAATGGACGAGACCATCCTGGAGGCCCTTGCCTCCGCTGCAGAGCACAGACGCACTCCCAGCCACCGCGCTTGCGGTATCCCTACCTCCCTGCTTAGGACTCTCGTTCCTCTAGGCTCAGCTCAAATGTGTCTTTCTTTATAAAACTGAAAGGCTGTCTAAAATCCTCCTGGCCCACCCAAGACAGAGTTAGCTCTGCCCTCTTTACTGCCCCCAGAGAACCTGGGAGGCCCAGGGACAATACATGGCTGCCACTTACATGTCTGTTTTGTACTTACATATTCAGGCATTGCATTTTGCTAGATGATAGGCTCTTTGCAGACAGGAACCTTGTTTTATTCATCTTTGTATCCTCAGGGTCCAATACTTATGAACTCAAGGAATACCAAATGGAGGAAGAAATACCCCATGACAGATGGTGAGTGCCGCAGCTGTGAATGAGGAAAGCACTCCCACAACAGAGAGGATGGCAGGACTAGCTTTGCCTGAGTAGTGTGGCCTCAGAGATGAAATGACCTTGTGCTGAGCCAAGGTGAAGTGGACCAGGGCAGGCTGTGCAGCCAGGGGTCATTGTGAGTGGAGACTCAGTTGGGCCTCTCTTCCTGGAGTATTAGGGGAAAGATGGGGACCAGGCATGCTGGTCAAGAAGCAAACATCCGAGAGGGTAGAGATGAGGCTGGTGGGACAGGGTGGTCCCAATGTGAAGAGCCTTTGGTGCATTCTAAAGAATTCGAGATTCATCCTGCAGGCAGTGGCAAGTCATAAAAAAGGCTTTTAAGCAGGGAATTGATATGATTGGATTTGTGTTTTAGAAAGAGATCTGGCAGCATTTGGGAGAACCAAGCAGTAATGATGTTGAGAGCAGAGACAACACTGCCAGCCAGGAATGACTCACCCATTGCACAGATATTCCACTCCCACGCCGGCACTGTTCTGGGAATACGGTTGTGAACCGGCAGGAGGCTTCCTGCTCTCAGGGCAGAGAGACAAATGGTCAGCAACAAAATAAGATGATTTTATACAAAGTGCAATGAAGAGGGAACAGTCGGGTAATGTGAGAGAGGACAGCCAGGACTCTGTCCATCTGAGGATCAGGGTGATCTCTGACATTCAAGCAGAACTGAGCTGGGCAAATACCTGACTACTGTGAGATTCTGGCCTCTAAGCAGCAGCTGTGGCCAAAAGGAGAGCTGGGCCCTGAGGGAGGTGGCTAGAGAGGTGGCTGGGGAGCTGGCAAGCGCAGGGCAGCAGGGAGGCTCCTGACCAAGGCATGGGGCATGCGCTGAACATGAGCATCAGGAGCGTTCGTCTGCTGTCCACCACCAGGGATGTGTGTGGAGCAAGGGCCCCCTAACTGTCCCAGTGCCCAAACGAGGGGGCACAGGAAGCTGTCTGGGGGGTGGTGGGCTCAGCACAGTCCTGTTGGGTTCTAAATGCTGAAGTGTGTGCAGAGGGCGTCTCATCCAGCCAGCTCTGAAAGTGGCAGCTGCAGGCTTAAGGGGAAGGGCAGCCCCACTGTGCACAGGCTTCAGCCCAGTGCTTTCTGAGTGCTCAGAGATCCATGACTCAAAAAACTGGGCTTAGAGACTACAATTTATTAATCCCCTCCCCTCGACTGAAATGAAAATGGCATTTCATTCCCAGCTCTATTAATGGACTCACTTCCGGAATAAAGCCAGCGTCCCCACAGGCAATGGCTGGGGTTCTTCTCCTTTGTGTCACTTTTGTTTTCTTTTGAGTGTTACATTTAGATTAGCTTCTGGAGGGATTAAATGTTATTACAGTTGAGGAATCTTTTTTTCTTTTTTTAATCAGTAGAGAGGTTACCGCTTAGCATCATTGCTGTTAGATTTATTTTCTTAAGTCTTGCAGCTTCCCCTATTCCTGTTCTTTAGAGAAAGCTTTGCATCAGTTATGTCTAGTTATTTGCGCCTTGAGGGAGCAGCCCTCATCACAGACAGGGCCTTTCCATCCGCAAGGCAGAGCTGACGCACCCCTGCAAGATGCCCCATGTGGTGTGCACACACAGCTCCTGAGGACACTGCCCTGGGGGCAGGGGTAGGAAGTTGTTCATTGGTAAAGCGTTTCCCTCAGGTCTGCCTACAGTAGACCATAGTACTCAACCCAGGGAGGCTGCAGCAGCTCCAGGCTGCGATGACTTCCGTGAGAGCCCACCAGAGGGACTGCTGTGGCAGAGGCTGGTGAGACCCATCTCCTGGCATCTGGTTCTTATTGGACCAGGGTGGATGTTGCAGAAAGACTGATTTCTTCTGCGGCATTGTGTAAAAGCATATCCATCTTACCAGACCTTGAAGTTTAAAGGTTAGAGACAGGTATCAGGTGATTGTTTTCAGGATCTGATAGCCTCTAGACCATGGGAAGAAAGTTCACATTCAGGGCTGGTTGGGGTCTCCACCCACCACCATCACAGAGCCCTCTGTGTCTCTGTACATGCCTGCCAGGAGAGCCAAGCCTGAAGGGTTCACCATCAAAGGAATTGTGTCCCCAGTGCAGGCTGGCCGCACGTCACCTGTGGCACTCCATTCATGCCTGCCCCATGGTGGCAGCTCCAAGCTAGAGTAAAGCCCTGTGAGACCTAGCTTGCCTATAACTGTTGGTCACTGGTTTTGTTTGTTTGTTTCTGGTGTAGCTAGATCCAGGAGAGTGAAGTCCAGGATTCTAACACTAGTCCAGTCTCCCTGGGAAGCGGAGGCTCTCTATCTCCACTGAGCCATACTTTCTGAGAAAGCACTATGTGTTCCAACGTCATCATTCCCACTGTCCCCACCACCACACACACACAGATGAGGTCCGGAGTAACTGCTTAGTGGCATCCCTGAAACTGCAGGCCCCGTAGCTGGATGGACCCTCAGAGTCATCTAATCCAGTTAGATACAGGTTGGGGTCATTCATGTGTGGTCACCCTGGGAACTCTACTTCCTCTGCTGGAACAAGTTCAGTTGCCAGTGCCCATCCTCACACCTCCCATTTCATCTCTGTATAGCCCTGGCTGTTAGAAAAGAACTCTCTCTGATGGAAACAGCTCAGGGCTGACTCTTGGGAGCTTCCTAGTTCTGCCCCCTGAGGCTTTATAGAGCACAGTGACAAAGTACCTGTGCATGCAGCTGGGCAGATATCTGAAGATAACTTTTATGTCCCCCGTGTCTTCCTTTTCCTTCAACTTTATCCTTCTCTGACTCATCCAGTGAAGCAGACACCTGACTTGGAGTCCCTGTCTCCTCTCCACCTGCTCCCTTTTAGAATTGGGCTCTGGGGAGCCAGAGCAGATAAGCAGCCAGAATGCAGTGCAGGCATCGTCTCTCTTGTCTGGTGGCTGATCTCTGTCAGCAGCATGTACACTGGGTTGCAGCACTGAACTCACCATGTTGTCTGCTGTCTCCTTGGCTGGGCCCAGTAACTATTCATATAAAGCTTCCTGTGAACTCGCCTCCATGCATGGCTACTAAGTGCCCTGTTTAGACTTGAGTACAGGACCTTATGTTTATTCCCAGTAAACTTCATTCTGGTAGATTCAGTTCAGCCCATAGAACGATTATTTGAATATATAGATTCTGTCATCTCTCTCAACTCTCTCTCTCTTTTTTTTTTGAGACAGGGTCTCGCTCTGTCACCCAGGCTGGAGTGCAGTGGCACAATCTCGGCTCACTGCATCCTCTGCCTCCTGGGTTCAAGCGATTCTCCTGCCTCAGCCTCCTGAGTAGCAGGGATTACAGGCGCCCACCACCATGCCTGGCTAATTTTTGTATTTTTAGTAGAGATGGGGTTTCACCATTTTGGCCAGGCCGGTCTCGAACTCCTGACCTCAAGTGATCCACCTGCCTCAGCCTCCCAAGGTGCTGGGATTACAGGCATGAGCCACCACCTGACCCCTTCCAACTCTTTTATATAAACCTGCTAAGTATGCCTTCCCCAACTAAGTCATTGATGAAAATGTTAAGTTGTACAAAAATGAGGACCTCCATTAAAGCTGACCTCATCCATCTAGGTACAGTGATCCATCTAGTTCCTAACATACCTCCTTGGATATCCAACCCATGTTATTTCTTTCCCACTAGGCTGGATCATGAAGGATCCTCTCTAATAATGTAGGAAGTGTCTGGAGCTGTCAGGCCGCTGCATGCCCCGTCTCCTAATCAGGATCCCTGTTAGAAGGGAAGAGGAGGGAATGTGGTTTGACATGTTTCCAACAGACTCTTCTCTTCTTAGTGATCACCTCTTCCTTTTCCATGTACTCCAAACCAGCCTCTTTATGAAACCATTCAAGACTCCAGCTTAGGCTCTGCCTTCATTTGATAGAATGTACCCTTTTGAAAATCCCGACATTGAAGACTTCCTTTCTAGTTTTCCTTTGTTTCCCATTCTCGAGAATTCTGTAAAGGTGACCCGCAGTAGCTTGGTGGTCCAGCCATAGTTCTCTTGGTATTCCTGGGCACAGTTGAGTGGACTGAGAAGGCTGCAGTCATGGGAAGTCACTTGGCCCTCTCTGGCCATCTTCCCTTCCACAAAGACTTTCCACACTGTCATACTTCACTGCCAGCATTTGTTCTGTCTTCTGGGAGGTGGTCAGGTAGAAATAGAAAACATGGGCTTTGGAGCAGAAAACCTAAAGTCAAATCCTGGCTGTGCCTCTCACTTGTTGTGTGGAGTTTGGTTGGTAACTCCCTCTAAGCCTCAGTTTTCTCTTCTGTAAAAGGGGTGAGCCATCCATTGTTCACAGGATGGTTGTGAGGGCTGAGTAAGGAAACCTCTATCCATCCCTACCCCTTCCCTTCTCTCTTTGAACTCCGAAGCTCTTATCTCCTTTAGAAGCAAAACAAGAGGTGCTGTTTCAGCACCCATTCTAGCTCAGCCACACCCAGCACCTCCCATTTCATCTCTGTACAGCTCTGGCTGTTAGAAAAGAACTCTCTCTGATGGAAACAGCTCAGGGCTGGCTCTTGGGAGCGCCCATCTCTTCCTATCTGCCAAAGGCCCCCAGCCTGGAGTGTCTACAGTGAGGTCTTCCCGTCCCGCTGCACTCCCTACTGCTGCCCAGACTGGCTGCCCTGTCATCAGAAAGTCCTGGGGCGGCCGGCTCTCTTCCTGCTCTGTGGGGGCAGGCCTTGGTGGAGCAGGGCGCCAAGGGAAACATGAGGCTTTGCTTCCCACCGTCACTGCCCAGCACCCAAAGCCCTGACTGGCCGCACCCCTGGGGACACCCTCCACCTACCTTCCCATGGAAAGAGTTGAGGTTCTTTGTGGAGTCAGCCTTGGGTTTCCCAGGGACCAGGGGCAGGGAGTGCCCTTTTTCCTTTTGTTGGTTTAGTTGAGGTTCAGCACATGAAGGTGGAATTCGCAGCAGGCCTTTCCTTCCCCTCCTGGGCCCAGCACAGGCTGGTGGGATGTGCTTGCTGGGTTGCCTGCTTCTGCAGAGCCGACCCAGCCTCATCCGCCAGTCCCTGGTCTTGGTGAGGCTGCTGCAGGGCAGCCTGCTCCCTGTTATGGCCCTGTTTACACGGTCTGTGCTCCTCACAGTGTGGCCCTGCGACTGACACGGAGCCCAGGGCAGCTTGAGGAGCCGGTAAACTTTGACTTTGGGCTCTTTCACCTCAGGCAGCTACCTGAGTCTGCCCCCCAGGTCATTTTAGGTAGACATGCCAAACACTCCCCTTTCTTCTTAGTGCCCCTTGACATACATACCTCCCAGTTAGTTACCCACCTTGGGACCTTTCTAAGCTCCCCTTCTTAGTCCTCTGTTCCAAGCTGATTACCAGGAGAATTGGTATCTTAGTCAATAGTGTTTACTCCAAAATACCAGCTTACAGGCCCCTGGTGTATTCTGCACTTGAAAAGAGGGGCCAGGACAAACTGTTCACAACAGAAAGGCTCGTCTCATCTCATCTCACTTAAACCCGCCTGGGACGGGGAGCCCTCACCCCATTTTTGTGATGAGGAAGTGAGGCTCAGCTAGGCTGACGCATCCTAAGTTGCTGGGCTGGAAGCGGCAGAGCCAGGATTCAGGGCCTGGTCCTTCTTGTCCTCAGCCAGGCACACAGGTTTCACCCTGCAGGCACCCGAAGTTCAGAATCACTGAGGCGGATGTTTATCTAAGAGCACGGAGGCTCCAGTGAGATGTGCATTCCTCTTGTTGTCTTCTTTTAGAGGAGAGAGGGGCTTCAGAGCCTTCACCATGCCCTGCTGCCCGTAGCACCTCTCGGTAGCCCTGATAACACCACGCTTTGCAGATCTGCCTGTGCCAGTGTGCTGTGACCCTGGTTTGTGGTGGCCCATAGACCACTTGCCTCAGAATCATGGAATAGAGTCCTGGGCCCCACCCCAAGCGAGGCCCTTGGAATCTGCCATGTAAACAAACTCCTAAGTGATTGCTATGAGTCCTGGAGTTTAGATCAACTGCCAAACTGAATGTATTCCAGCCAGCAAATTAATCACTTCCCCAGGAAATCCCCCCAGGGAAAGCCTCTAAATCCATCCTGACTTCTGAACTGCCTCAAAGAGATCTGTTACTTTTTCCTCTGGTGAGGAGGCCTTCCCCCACCCCGCTTCTTCCCAGAGTTAGGGCCCAGAGAACGTCATCCTGAGCCTTGAGTCCAGAGAGCCTGTGGTGGGCGACCAGCAGCCCTGCAGAGAGCCTGAGCCCTTCCCGCAGGAAGGAGGGCTGTCCTTGTGGCTTAAGGGTTGGCACTGGCACTGGCTCCTCAGGCTGGCACATGCCTTCCTGCTGCCTTGCTGGCATGGCAGAATGGCACATGTGCCCAGTGACCAGATCGGGCTGACACAGCTGGGCACACTCAGTGCACGGGCGCAAGAAGGGCCCTTGGAGCCTCCCTGTCCGTTTGCTGAGCAGGCCCAGGGCAGGCGGGGCTTCTCTGGATGTTATTTAGCAGCAGCCCTGGCTGCCGCTGGGCTGAGGGTCCTAGGTTGCCCTATTTGAAGATTGTTGTTTACTGCTTCTGAAAGGAGCATGGTCCTTGTGGGGTGGGGTGAGGCTCTGGGTGACTGCTGAGGGAGCCTGGGGTCCGGGAGGGAGGGGTGTCTGGAGAGTGAGATCATGTCTGTGCTATTACTGGACTGACCCACGGTTCTGAAAAGTCACCTCACACTGTGAGCCTCATCTCTTCATCTATGTCATGACATAGTTGGACCACAGAGTCTCTAAGACCCTTCTGGAATGGAAGCCCTACCTGCTTCCATAGGCCCCTCTTCTTGCCTCTCCGAAGCCTGGTACAACCTCCCCTTATACTTGTGCTGTAGGGGTCGTTTGTTCCCCAAGGCTTCTCTGGTAGGCTGGGTCCTCAACCCTCATTTCCTACCATTTCCAGGAGTGAGATGAATGAATGGCTCAGGAAGCTTTTGGTGGCAAGTTAAATTTCATCTCAATATTCTTGTATTATCCATTTGCATTGCTGTAAAGGAATACTTGAGGCTGGGTAATTTATAAAGAAAAGAGGTTTATTTGGCTCATGGTCCTACAGGCTGTACAGGCCTGAAACCAGCATCTTCTCAGCTTCTGGGGAGGCCTCAGGAAGCTTACAATTATGGAGGAAGGCAAAGAAGGAGCCGGTGTGTCACCTGGCAAAAGACAGAGCAAGAGAGATGCCAGGCTCTTTTAAATAATCAACTCTCATTATTCGCTCATTACCATGGGGAGGGCACCAAGCCATTCATGAGGGACCCCGACCCCTATGACCCAGACACCTCCCACCAGACCCACCTCCAACACTGGGGAGTCACATTTCAACATGAGATTTGGAGACTGAAATATCCAAACCACATCAATTCTTCATTCACACTTCATGTTTTTTAAAACTTCTATAAGGAGTGAATAAAATCATCTTTAGAAAATTTGATGTTTTTATTTATCTTTAACATACAAGCCAGTGAAAACTGATTGCAGCATCAAAATACCCCCTTCTCCACACATACTGTCTCTCTCACACATGCATGCATTCATGCACTCTCACACTCGCTCTGCCTATAACCAGAGAGCTTGCCCGTTCTGTGTTGGGATTCTGCGCTCTTCTCCTGTCAGCGGCCTCAGCCTTGAGCATTTCCCTGGGCTCAAGGTCTGAGAACCTGGATTGAGCTCACAGAAGTCAGACCACTGGAGTGCAAGCATGGAAAAGCCCCTGGTCTATGTGTAGACATATTTATTTGCAGCTACAGAGGATATATTAGGAGTCAAAGACAAGCTCCTACCAGCAGATTCCTAAAGGAGGTTTGTGCTGTAAAAGATGACTGGTTATCTGGGTTCTTTGAATTTCACAGAGATAGATGAATTGCCTTCCAGACTTTTCTATGATAACAGTTGTCAGGAATGCCCGGGAGTTTTACTTAAGCTAACAAATGATTACCCTTCCCATTAGCTCTACAAACAGGCCCCTAATTAGTGAATTGGCTAATGACAGCTGCCTCTGGGGTCATTAGTCCTGACAGACAGTGCTGCAGTGTTCCGGGCACTGTGTCACTGTCATGAAGCATGTTGTCAGGCTCCACGGGACGTCAGGGCTGGGGAACACTTGGAATGCACCCTCCCCTCTCTGCTTTTTTTTTTTTTTTTTTTTTTTTTTTTTTGAGACTGAGTCTCGCTCTGTCGCCCAGGCTGGAGTGCAGTGGCACAATCTCGGCTCACTGCAAGCTCTGCCTCCCGGGTTCACGCCATTCTCCTGCCTCAGCCTCCTGAGTATCTGGGACTACAGACGCCTGCCACCATGCCTGGCTGATTTTTTTGTATTTTTAGTAGAGATGGGGTTTCACCATGTTAGCCAGGATGGTCTCGATCTCCTGACCTCATGATCCGCCCGCCTCGGCCTCCCAGAGTGCTGGGATTACAGGCGTGAGCCACCACGCCCGGCCTTCCCACCTCACTTTTTACCTTTTATGTCATCTCCTGGGTCATGTAAATTAACACCTACTTCAGATGGGTATGGATTTCTAAATATGGATTAAACATGGATTTTTAAAATAAAGGAGGACTGAGGAAATGGTCACATCAATTCTGGACGAGAAGACAGTTTTTATGAAACAGTTCCATTTTAAAGACACGTCTAATCAGAGTTGGGAATCGTTTTGGAAAGAATATCTATCTTGCCATTCGTTCCAGGGTTTACTTGTGAGCACGAATCACCTGCTGTCTCCGGCCACCTGGGATGCTCAGCCAGTGCCTTTGGAAACATTTCTGCCTTGAATGTCAGGTAGTGGTGAGCGGGATGGCAGGGCTGGCATGAGGCAGAGGGCTCAGTGTATCCCAGATGTGGTGTTCCCTTTTGAGAGCCTCCCTCCCTCAAGATGAGCAGGTGTTAAGGCTGGCCTCATCTGTATCCCTCCTGACCGCTTAGGTGATCTTGAAGTGTGGACCCTCCTGGGACACACAGCATCTCCTGACCAAGCTCAGCCCCAGAATAACTAGTCTGGAAGGCCCAGGCTTACATGATAACCAGGTTAAGTCCCAGGCTGATGTTCCATAGACAAGGACAGCATTGCATGGTTGAAGCACAGAAAAGTTCTGGGGCTGGTGAGTGCAGAGTGGGATAGCTATTGTAACAGAAAGGCGTTCTGCACTCAGGTTTTGTTACTATGCAGATTCCTGCTACATCAGCTCAAAACCGTGTGCGGCTTAGTCTAAATGCCTATTTAAGCAAAGGCCAAAAGTCTGTTTGAAGATATAAAGGGAAAAATAGTGTTCATAATACAAAGCTTGAGGCTAGTCATAGATGTACAATTTCCACGCAGTAAAAGTGAGTAATGAAACTGCATTTAATTGTTCAAAAGTAGCAGAAATGCATCTTTAAGAATTAAAAACTACAAAAAGGTGATTATACAGCATAGCAAATCTCTAACATGGATTAAACAGAATTGTTTAGGAGATAAAATACCAGCATGAACATGCATTTTGAAAGAGGGAAGAACAATGCTGGGTTTAGGTAGGGAGAGCCCAGCTTCTGCTTTTGCTTGGGACTGATGTGGCAGGAAGTTGCTGGTTCATGGCCCAGGAAATCCATAGATGGAAAGACCTTGGCCGCTCCTATGGAATGTACATATGTACTTGACCTGTGTAAAATGGATTATACAGGGCATCCCCAAACCTAACAGGTGCCTGCATCTGGGAAGCCAGCTTGTGCTGTGAAATTCCCACAACCTTAGATCAGCCTTTCCTCTCAGCCAGGTGAACCTAGGTTCACATCCTCCTCCTGCGACTCCTTAGCCTAGATCCTGGGACAAGTGGCTCAACTGTGCTGACTCTGGTTCCTCATCTGTGTAGAGGGGTGGTGATGCTGCCCTTGCAGAGCGAAGGGGAGGATAATATGAGATCATGTTCATAGAATACGAGGCCAGAGCTTGGCTTAGAAATGTTAGTCCTGGGCTGCCACATCCTGTCAGCACTGGCCACATATGGCTATTGAAGTGTGGCTCACCCAAATTGAGACATGCTGTAAGTGCAAAATACATATTGGATTTCAAAGACTTAATACCAAAAAAAGTAAAATCTCTCCTATAATTTTTTATATTGAAAGACTATTTCTCTATATTTTGTCAAATACATTATTAAAATTAATTGTAACTGTTTCTTTTTTTCTTTTTGAGACAGAGTCTTGCTCTGTTGCCCAGGCTGCAGTGCAGTGGTGCAATCTCAGCTCTTTGCAACCTCCACCTCCCAGGTTCAAGCGATTCTCCTACCTCAGCCTCCCAAGTAGCTGGGTTTACAGGCATGCACCACCACGCTCAGCTAATTTTTTTGTATTTTACTAGAGACAGTTTCACCATGTTGGCCAGGCTGGTCGCGAACACCTGACCTCAAACAATCTGCCCACCTCAGCCTCCCAAAGTACTGGGATTACAGGCGTGAGCCCCTGCACCTGGCCTCTTTTTACTTTTAATGTGGCTGCTAGAAAACTGATAATTCCATATGTGGCTTGCAGTCTTTTTCTGTTGGACAGAACTATTGGTCCCTTCCCTCCTTCACCCTGGCCTGCTGCCTCCCATCTTAGCATCCCGCCACCTCACATGCAGCCTTACACTGGAGTGGTTTGTGTCCCTGAGGAATTTGCTCCAGGTCATGTGGGTAGAGAGCTGGGCAACCAGTGTTGTTCTGGCATAATGCCCTTTCCTGTCTCCATTTTAAACACAAGGAAGCCATAAGTGAAATTAAGTGCCTTTGCCTAGGTCAGAAGCCAGTTAGTAGTCAAGTAGGGACCTAAATCCAAGTGTTCTGGCTCGAGTCCACTGTGATTTCCACCACGCCATACGGCCATTCATTTTATTGGCTGGAGTACAGCAGCATCTAAGCTGGCATTGAGCTTCACTTCCATGCTAACTTGGAGAGTCTAAGATTCTGAGGGACCAGGAAGAAGCAGCCTGGGTGGTGAAATGTAGACAGAGATTTGGATGAGAGATGGGGAGTGAGCGTTGGGAGCTGAGCCTGGTACGTCTCTCAGGACTGGTGCCTGTGTGGCTTGTCTCGGAGAAGGCTAGGGGAAGATAATGCCAGACAGTGCTGGTCTTGGCCTGTCCATGGGCTTTGGAGTCTGATGGGTGACCTGGGCCAAGTCATTCTATCTGCTTAAGCCTCAGGGTCTTCATTTGTAAAACAGGTGTATTTTGTTGCAGAGGTTTTATGAAGATTAAATCCCATGCCTTACAGATGCTCACTGCCTGTTCACGGGCTTTCCTGTCTGCATGGGTTTGCTCTGTGAGTCAGTGGTCCCTCATCAGAGCCTGTCCCAGAGCATGCTGGGTGGCTCTGTAGGCTTTGTATCCTCAGGCTGACCACAGCAGGCATGTATTGGTAAGAATCTGAGCAGAATAGAGGCATGTGAGCTTGAGAGGGCTGGAGGGTGTGGGGGGAGATAGTATCAGAGAGCTCTTTTGGTTACTTCTGGGGGAGCGGGATTTCAATAACTGCTGGTTCCCAGGCCCAGGTGAGGATCCCAAAGTGAGGATCCTGAGAATCCTGAGGGATGCCTTTTCTCCAAGCCACATGACTGAGAAAACAGGGGATTCCCAGGCTATGCGCAGAGGACAAGCTACAAATTATCTTGCTGTGCAGACAGCTAGCAGCAAGTTACAACCCCAGGAATCCTGAGAAACAGCTCTTCTTATCCAGGTCACCGTACTCATTCTCTTGATTTGTGAAAGTCCAGGCTATGACAGAATCCATTTCCATCAGGGAAATTGGCAAGGGGCCATTAGCTTGTGACTGTTGGCCTGGGGACAAGGAGAGGGGAGTGGGAGGATGCTTAACAAGGTGGCCACATCTCTGGCACCGTAGCCAGAGCGACAGCTGGAGGGAACAACAGCCTGAGTTCCAGTTCCAGACCCACTGTGCGTTCGTTCTGTGCCACAGGGCTAGTTACAGAACCGCTCTTCATCTGTCTTCTCAGCTGTAAGATGGTGATACGAGAACAAGGCAATGAGCTGGGTGTTTAGATGCTGTGGAGTGTGTACGTGACGCAGTAAGCAGAGTGCCTGGCATGTAATCAGGATTCGATAAATGGTAGCTGTTCTTATTTATTATTGCTGTCGACTCTGTTAACATCCAGCATCCAGTTTAGACTCTTCCAAATTTCAATTTTTTGTGCCATCAGCCACATTAAAAGACTGGTGCCAATAAGGTTTTAAAATGAAATGCCTCTCATAACAGAGAAAGTCCCAGTAACTATAAGATGTTCCTGTGCTTACTCGAGAGAACACACTTTCTCCTGGGTCTGTGCCCTGGGTAATCACAGTGATTCATAGCAGGAAAGGTGGCCCTGTAGGCTCCCTCAGGACTGAGGGGGCTGTGTGGCTCCCACAGGTCCCCATGCAGGGGTCTCTGCCTGCAGGGCCCAGGAGGCCACCACTGCTGAGAAGCTGTTCCTGCCACCGGCAGCGATCTTCACCCCAAGCTCCCTGCATGTTGGGCTTGTCCTTCATTTCGGGTTGGCCAGCGCCCATTTGCTATTTGGTACTCTTTTTCATTCTTCTGTGGACAGAAGGAGGTGAAAGGGCACTAGTATTTATCAGACTCTTCCTGTGGTTCAGGCAAACCTTGAAGCACTTTGGGTAGGTTATCTCATTTATGACTCTCTTTTTATAGATAATTAAATTGGGAGTCAGTGAAGTGAACAGACTTGCCCAAGTCACTGAGCTGGTGAGCAGGAGAGTAAGGTTCCAGTTCAAGCCAGCCTGCCTCCAGAATCCACCACCCCGGGGTGTGGCGAGGGAACACAGCTGGGACAGGATCAAGCAATAGGGTTTTGAGTGCCAGGGGTTTGGGCTTTATTTTGATGCCTTGGGAAGCCATCGGAAGTGTCTGAGCTTTGAAATGACATGATCAGATGTGTGTTTTAAGAAAATAGCTCTGGAAGTAGTGAATTAAGTCTGTTAAGCCACAACTTTCTCATCCTATCCCTGTACAGTTGGTTATTTTTAAACCCAAGTGCAGGAAATGTTTCTCTCTGATTTCATGCGCATTTCAGCCTATTGTTTCAGGCTGTGTCTTTTAGCCTGTGTGTGTTTGTGTGTGTGCCTGTGTGTGCACAATGCACCAGGAGATGTGGGGGGACACAGTACACCAGCAGCAAAGAAGAATGCCTGTAGATGGCGTCTGCCATGCAGCCACTGGCTTTGACAACTGTGACTTGTGACAGTGTGGAAAACAGGAATTTTATCTCTCACATACCTCGGCAGACATGGAACAAGATGGGACGCCAAAATAAAATGACTGATTCTTTAACAAATACAACAGAATTTACACATATTCCACTCACTCCATCTGAGCAAATTGATTGGGACTTCTGTTTTTGAATCTCAGAGATAAGGGCATCATTTATTCTCCCCTTCTCAGTCAAAAAATATTCGTTGAGTTCCTACAATATACAGGCATTCCTTCACTCTGCATTTCTTGTCCCTCAGGCCTCATCTTCTGTGATTATTAGAAGATGACGTGTGTGTGCATATATATCATCACTGTAAAAATGGACCTTTTAAATCTCTCCTGGAACTGTGCATAGTCCTAGAAATCTACAGTATGTAGATTTAGTGTCCACACATTCTCTGATAGGCTGTTTACTGTAGCATCTTAAAATGAGGAAGGATGTAAAATATTCAGAGTATATACATATCTTCCAGGTTTTTCAAAAGGAAAAAGTTTCGTCTTCTGATTTATAAAAATGATACATGAATATTGTAAAAGGAAATCAAACAATACAGAAAAATGCAAAGTTTTAAAAAATCCAGAATCTCTTCCTGCTTCAGTTTGGTGACATCACTCCATGTTCACGGAGCACAGCCACACAGCTGCACATAAATGAGACCATGAGTTTGTGTTCAACACACAGTTCAGTGTGTGCTATTTTCCCTCATCTATATGCTGTGCACAATATTTGTATATCAGTAAATGTAGATTTAGATCTTCATTTTTAATTATCCTATTATTCTTGTATATGGTTATACCAGAATTTATGTAACCAATCACTTATTGATGAATCCTTGTGTGGTTTTCTACGTTTTATCAATATAATCGGCACTGTGACAGACAGCCTTATTTGTGTTTGTGTGCTTATATGTTTAAATTCTTCTAGAGGGAGTTTCTGGGTCAAAGGATACACACACCAAAAAAAACATATGCATACAGGTTTATATGCTTACATTTGACCTGCTAACCCTTCAAAAGAAAAATGTACCAATTTTCACTCCAAAAACGCTAGAGAGTGTTCCATTTTCCCAGGACTTCCCAAGCACAGGATTTTCAGCAATATTTTTTCAAAGCATCTTTACTGCTATCAAAGGAGAAAAATACCCTCACTTTTAAAACTCCTCATTTCTTCAAGTATTAAGTGAGGGTAAAAACCCTTTCCTATATTATTGGCCATTTGTTTTTCTTTTTTTATGAGTTGTTTACTTACAGCCTTTCCCATTTTTCTCCTTATTATTCATTTTTAACAGGTCTTTGTGTGATGGTGTTATTAATCTTTTATCATTTTTCTTGTGACTGTTTTCTAGTTAATTTTTTGTTTAACTTTTGCTTGTTGGAAGTTGATGTGGAGATGGGAACCAAATGTATTTTTGTTGCCAATTTTTCTATTTGTAACTTACATTATATTACAAAGACCTTTCCACCCCAGTGAAGGTCTATAATCGTATGCACCCATATTTTTAGGACAAGTACTTCTATGATTTTATTTTCTGCCATTAAATTGTTGTTCCAAATAGCCTCCCTAGGATTTACTTAGGAGTAAGATGTGAACGAAGTAAAGATCTGCTTTCATTTTATTTTTTCCAAACAAAATATCCTTTGTCCCATTAGCACTGATATAAAATTTCACCTAATCATATGCTAAATTCCTTCTTACACACTTGAGTCTATTTCTAGACTCTTTTCCAGGCCACTTCTGCATGTTTTAAACCTGTTTAAGACATATTAGGAAGCTATAGTTATTTAAAATATTAAATAATCTGGCTGAGCAAGCTTTTCTGCCTTGATGATCTTTTTGCATCTTCTCTTTTGAGGTTGAATTTAGAATCACTTTGTCAAACTTTCCCAACCCCACTCCCAGCCAGGAGAAGAAAATCTAGATAGACTCTTTTTTTGGGGGATAAGTGCGTCCTTTTGAGTACATCCAGTTCTATCAAATTGCCGTCACTGTTGGTCTATTTTGAAATAATTTCAAACCCATAGAAAGATTGTAAGAACAAACACCACAAAGGATTCCTGCATCTCCTTAACCAAGATTCCCTGATTTTTTACATGTTACAGAATTTGCTTCATCACCTTTTCTCTCTAGATGAAAACATTGTCTTTTTCTGACATGATAACTCCTTACCCCTAAATACTTCCATGCACCATGGGCCTCCCAAGAATACCTCCTCCTTGGTCACCTCACACTGCTGCCGATGAGGAAATCAGCACTGACTCAACAGGACTGTCAGCCCACAGACCACACTTCACCTGCTACCCTAATGTTGTCGTTTCCTTTCTGGTCCAGGAATCTGTCATGCATCATCAGCTCCTTCATATGGAACAGTTCCTTACTCTTTCGTGTCTCTCTCCACCCTGACAGACTTGAAGAAAGTGCAGGGCTTTCATCTGTAGGGAGAGCCCCAGCCCTGGCCCACCTGGTGTTTCCTCATGACCAGACTCAAGCCGTGCATTCTTGGCAGGAAGACCCCAGAACTGGTGCTATGTTTGTGAGGTGCATCCCATCAGTAGGTTCAAGAGGCCACCTGTCCTACCACTAGTGATGCTGACCTAGACCTGGTCACATTGGTATCTCCACGGTCTCCCTGCTGTGAAGGCCTTATTTTCCCTTTGTGTTTGCTTAGTATTTTGTGGGGGAGATACTCCAGTGTTATGCCAGTATCCTGATCCTCATCTAACTTCCACCCATCAGCCTTAGCTTCCATTGAGAACATTGTGATGATCTATTTCCATCATTTCTTCTACATTTATGAATTGATATTCTATTAAAGGAGGAGTTTCCCCTTCTCTCTTTAGTTATGTAACTATTCATTTATTTGGTTATGTTAGTAAGGAGTCAAGGACTCATATTTATTCATTGGGCTATAATCTATAACTTATTTTAATATTCAAAATGCCATAGATTTTGCCCTTCAAACTGACTCTCCTTCCTTTGGCATGTCTCTTCATTATTTACTTTCTAGCGCAAGGTGTTCAGGCTCATCTTGTCCTTTCTCTGCCCCAGCCCTGGAGTCAGCCGTTTCTCCCAGGAGCCACATTCCTTCTGTTGGAGGATGCTGCTAGAAACCATGCTCTGGGATCTGAGCTCCGGGTGTGCTCCCTGCTATGGAGGTGTCATTGCTTCTAGGTGCTCTCAGTGGGAAGAGCTGGGAAACATGGATGTGTGTACACAGAGTGCATGTGTATGTAGATGTGTGTGCATGTACATCCACAGTGCATGCGTGAGGACTGCCATCTGTGTGTGGGGGGGAGTATTTCACAAGTCCATAGTGATACTTCCAGTTCTAATATCTGGAGGCTCTTTGTAGGGCTCTCTCTCTCTCCTTTTCCATGTGTAAATCTCCCTTCTCATAGAGCATGAGACTTGGCTGTTTTCTTCAACAGGATATGTATTTGCTCAATCAGTGAACTTTTGTTTCAATGTAACCAGTCTCTCAACCATGCCAGCCGCCTTTTCAGCTGCCACGTCCCCTCCTGGACCCCACCGGCTGCCTTAGCTGCAAGCAGGCCACTGCCACCACCTCCTAATGACGCCCCCCACTACCACCCCACTCCCTGTGACTTCTGCTGGGAGGGAAAAGGACAATTGAAGGACAAGGCTTTCATTCTTTGTTTTTTCGGAAAACAACTCAAAGTCCTTTCGTGACTTCAGGTTGATGGAAGTTAGGAAATCGGAACAGAGTGTGCCTTCACCTCTGCATGGCTGTGGGATGTGTCCACTTTCCCTCTGCCTCGTTTTGCCTCCTCACCTGGGGTCAGGTTGTATCAGGTGTCTTGCCAGACCCCAGTAGCGGGTGGCTGACCCTGTGGTTGTTCTAAGGGAAGTCAGTTCTGGTCCAAAGCCAAGGTGTGGCAGTAGAAGTTGAGGCACATTTTCTGGGTGCTTTCTATCCTAAAAACACATGGTCTGCAGTCCCCCTTTTTCTGGGTGACATGAGGTACGGTGAGAGGTGAGTCCTGGAGGACCTCTTTGGCCTCCTCTGGTGTCCGTGATGGGGTAGCGAGGTAGGGCTGTCATAATGAAGGAGGCCCAGTGTCTGAGAGCTCTTCTTTGCAATACTTAGGGTTTACCACGGTGTTCTGTGCAGCTCCAGTTTCTGAATGTGCTCGAGGAAGACAGTAGAGGGAGGGGAAAGGGTCATAGATGGGGGGCCCAGGTCTTCTGGGAGGCCCTATAGGAATCTGTTTTTCCTTTTAGGTTATGAGTGAGCTGCCAGCTGATAAAACACTATCGCAGCTTAAAAAACTATGAACTTCATGAAAACTAATTCAGAATGGACCATAGACCTAAATGTAAAACGCAAAACTGTGAAACTCCTAGAAGATAACATAGGAGAAAAAGATGTCCTTGGGTTTGATGATGACTCTTAGATATAATGCCAAACAGTGCATGAAAGGAAGAATTGATAAGTTGGATCCACAGTGAGGATGGGAGAAGGAGGTAGGTTACAGAATTTCCACACACCTGGCAATAGGCGCTGAGCTGTGTTCAGGAATAGAAGCTAAGAGAAGGTGAGAATGCAGGACACGGCATGGCCCAGACAGACGCCTGTTCAGCCAGGGGCTGGGCACATGGTCCAGGGCTCAGCCCACCGGGTTACAAAGGCCCCAGGTCAGACTGCACACATCCACATCTGGTGTGTCAGTCAGATCTGGCCTCTGCCCCTAGAAGCTGGAAGAAGGTGGAGCCCCAATGACTTAATTATTGATGCTCTGCCTACCTCAATTTATTTATAGAATATCTGCTTCCTGCATAGTATTCTGTGAGGACCTTACAGCCGAGGTAATAAGCTGTGGTTCCTGGCTTCCAGGCACTCCTGTCTAGTGGGGAGACAGCATGTCCCACATGACTGGGTGCAGTGTGCTCAGATGGTCTATGTCACAGGACCCTCTCAGGTGAGCAGGCCAGGGAGGCCACAGAGCAGAAGTGACACTGGGTCAGTAACACTTCCTCCCAGTGAGAGGGGACAGAGAGGCGGGGCTGGCGGCCTGTCCACATAGGACTACACAGACGCACAGCACCTGTGTGACAGCGGGAAGAAGGGCAGGTAACCTTCAGGGGAAGTTGTGGTTAGCAGACAGACATGGGGGCAGATTGGAGAAGGAGTCAAGAGTGTTCCTGAAATCTGGGGCCCAGTGGCCCAGGCGTGGGGGCAGTTGATGACAATCAGGCAGGATGGAGACTTACCTTCTCCTCAGGACTGGGTCCTAGAGGGGCCGGAATGCCTCGCTGTGGAGTTGGCCTTGCCTCTAGGCCTTGTGGCTGTGGGTGGGTGAGAGGGGTCCCTGAGGGCAGGGCAGAGGTTTCATTGTTTGTGAGTCTGGTCACCATGGGATGGGCACTTAGTAAATAGTTGTCCCTTGAAGGAAGGAAGGACATTCATTTAGCATAGGTCTTTACGGGGGCGTTTTAGGCTGGTACGATGGAGTTTGTGGAAAAGGCTGGGGAGAAGAGGCCAGGTAGGAGGGAGGCTCAGGGCAGCAGAGCAGGCACGGGCGGCTCTTGTGAGGAGGACTTTGGCTCACTGTGAACTGGCCATGTGCTTGTGTGGAGCTGGCCAGCCCTCGGGTTCTGGGAGCTCTGACCTTCAGGATTGCTGAGGCCAAAGCACAGAGCTGGAAGGGCAGGCCTGTGGGGGGCGCCATCCTCTGGGGAGCTTTGGGCCAGAGCACCCCCACCATCATGAGTCAGAAAGATCCCTCTAGTTGATGTCAGCAAGGAGCCAGGCTGGAGGAGCAGACTCGAGCAGGGAGACTTGGGTTGGGAAGACTCGAGTGGGGAGACTTGGGAGCGGGGAAAGTCGGGAACAGGGAGACTCTAGGTGGGAGACTCAGGGGAGACTTGGGAGGGGGGAGACTTGAATAGAGAGACTCGGGACGGGGAGACTCAGTGTAGGGGAGACTCGGTGTGGCGGAGACTTGATGGGGGAGACTCGGTGTGGGGGAGACTTGATGGGGGAGACTCAAGTCGGGAGACTCAGGGAGACTCAAGCGGGGAGACTTGGGAGATTCGGGGGAAGACTCAAGCGGGGAGACTCGGGGAGACTCGAGTAGGGAGACATGGGGAGACTCGGGGGGAGACTTGAGTGGGGAGACTCGAGCGGGGACACTCAGGGAGACTCAAGGCAGGAGACATGGGGAGACTAAAGGGGTAAACTTGGGGAGACTTGAGGGGGGAAGTGAATTAGCCAGAAGGTGAGCTAAAGTTTCCAGCAGAGAGGCGGCAAGGACTCTAAGACGACAGGGGGTGGGGAACAGGCAGCCACCCACAGTCTGGAGTGCTAGGGACCCACCCAGTGCCAGTTGGGTGACAGCTCCCTGCTTTGTTGAGGACCCAGTGCTGAGGGAAGGTCACGTCATAGGATTGTGCTCAAGAGCCTCCCGCAGCCCCACACAGAGCAGGGTTGGGGCAGCCCAAGGACTCCCCTGTGTCCAGAGGCCATGGCTGCAAGGGGCTGCCATGGTGAGTCTCATTGGCAGAAACAGCGCCAGAAAGCTCTTCAGCCACAGGCGGGCTGGAAGTCGTCATCCCCCAGCACCAAAGGCCACCATGGCCCTGCCCTTTCCTTCCGCCTTGCCAAAGCCCAGAAAGCGCCCCACCTGGCTTCCTCTGACATCTAGTGAATGAGGGTGCATCTCCTCTTAGGGAAAGTGTGCATTCTTTATTTTTTTCCAACAAAGAAACAAAGAGGAATGGCCCTTTCTTCTTTCCGTGTGTGTGAGAGAGAAGGGATAGTCCTGGACAATCCTGTCACACGCAGCCTCTGCCTCACTAAGCAGCAGCCAGGGGCTCGTTTGTGTCTCAGGCCCTCTTGGGAGCAATGCACCCCCAGGCTCTCTCGCAAGCCTCAGCTCTCAAACAGGCCCCTCTCCCACCTGAGGGATGGGGCAGCTGGAGCCCGGCATCCTGCAGTTGATAGCAATCCCGTGTGGCGTGTTGATCGATGGCAGGACCTCTGGGTTCCACTTACCCAGGCTGAGTGGCACATCGTCAATAGCAGTCAGTTAACCAAGTCCTTAGTAACCAGCTGGTCTCATCAGCGCCTCAGCCCTAGCCACGGGTTAAAGCAGAAACCCCTCCTGAACAGCTAGATTGGACCTGACCAAGATGAATGTCTAATTCACTCGGAATCTCCTTACTGCTGCCTGTAATAAAAAGCCTGCTCCATGTATTCACCCCCCTGCTGATGTTTCTCTGAAATTAAGTATCAGGAGGACATATAATAGCCCAGTTCCACACCAGGCCAATATTATCAGATTGATGTCAGCAGTGATAATAGGAGAAGGATAAGTTGATGAGATTCCATTTATTAAATAAAGTGAAGAGAGCACACAGAGGATTTGGGGCCACACGTGTGAGCAGGCGCTGGGCGCGCTCCACAGGAGAAAGAGAGAACAGGGCCTGGCGTCTGGTCCCGAATCCCTCTTCTTGCCCACCTGGGAGCTGGAGTGCCCGCCGTCATGGGAACGACTTGGCCACCTACGATGTGTGCGCCCAAGATGGGAAGGTGCCACCCATGCTTCTGCCAGGCTGGTCTCATGACAGGACGCTTCCGCTCACTTCTGTTTGCTTTTCTTCCCACCTCATGTTGATGCTGCAGGCTGCCATGAGTTCATGTCTTCCTCTCTCACTTTCCTCCCTGTGGCTCCTGGGCTGGGAGCTTCCCGGCTGCCCAATGGGAGTTGGCAAGCTTCTGCCCCATGCAGAGCCCTGCCTAATGTGGTTCGGGGCAACTGTCTTTTCTTTTTCTGAGTACCCTTGGTTGTCTCTTTCAGAATGTCTTGGAATTTTCTAATGGCAGAGTGGAGCTCATGTGGCGGTGCAGAGAGCAAGAGCTATGGAGCTGAGCACACTCCACTCTTCCTATCCCGGGCCCCTCTCACTGCTCTGTGACTGCGGGCCAGTCACGTGAGCTGCCTGTGACTTACCAACCCCGTCTGCAGAACGGGGTGGGAAGGCCCAGCTCACAGGGTTGTTGTGAACCTAGAACACAGGAAGCCCTGACAGGCAGAAGTTCCCAAGACCACAGACATCCAGATCCACTCTCAAATGAGGCCGAATTTTCTGCCCGTGCTGTTGACCATCAGCTCCCCTCCCACAGGCTGATCCTCATCCCAGATCTCTCCCAGTGCAGAAGACTTCCTGGGCAGCACCTGGCAGCAGCTTTAGGAACCGGCTCATAAGCTACGGCTCCTCCCCTTTTCCATTATGTGGGTTAAGGTGAGTCAGTTCATCTCTAAATAAAATAACGCCTTACAGGGGAGGACAGAGATTGGAGACACCATGTGCAGACCCTGGCATGGAGCCTGGCATGTGGTGGGCATTGAAGTGTAGCGGCTATTGCTGATGTGCGCCTGGGCCCAGCCACCATGCCGTGGAAAGTGCACACTGCTCTCAGAAAACGATCAGAGATACATTGGTCCCCCGGTCATTCCTGCCCATCCCCGCTCCCCACTCTACTTCTGGGAAACGGGTCCAACCCCTTTGCAGCATGCCTGATGACATGGGTTTCCCAGGGCTGCCAAAACAAAGCACCACATGTCAGGCCTTTCAGCCCAGAAACTTATCCTCTCACAGTTCTGGAGGGCAGAGGTCCACAATTAAGGTGTTGGTGGTCCAGTCTCGCCCTCAGGCTGGAGGGGAAATCTGTTGCAGCCCCTCCTAGGCTGCTGGTGGTGCTGGCATCCTTGGCATTCCGGGACACACATACTGTTGGGCACACACATCGCTCTACTGTCAGCCTCGGTCCCCATAGTGCCTCCTCCCTGTGTTGTGGTCTCTGTGTCTCCTCTCTTCTTCACAAGAGAATATGAATGGGATTCGTACTGGATTAGGGGCCCACCCTACCCCATATGCCCTTGTCTTAACTAATCACATCTGTAACAACCCTGTTTCCCAATAAGGCCATGTTCCGAGGCTCCAGGAAGGACATGAATTTGAGGGGATCATCAAACCCACTAACCTTTGCACATGTCTAGTTCTCAGGAGCCCCTGGACCCCTCAACTTGACCAGGTTGTCTTCTTCTGACAACAATTTGTGACAGGCACCCTCTCCAAACTGACTTAATCCAAAAGTGGAACATATAGGTTTGTGCTACAGGAAAGCTAAAAATAGTACCTGGCTTCGAATTGAGGAACTCATTTGGTGTTAGAGTCTGTTTCCTTTTGGACAGTGGGTCATGGAGTTTGGAAGCCCAGCTTTATGTTCTCCCTGGAAGATCACAGTTTCACCCCATACCTTTCACTGGGCCCATGAATGGGTTCATACTAGCCCAGGCTGGCTCATGTGGGCCAAACCCATGCTACCCAGGCCAGAAGGGGAAACCTGAGAAATAAAGGGGCATCTCTGCCTTACCTGAGAGTCCTGCTGTGTGAAGTCAGTGCATTAATAGACAGTGGTGGCACAGCTCCTGCCTTATAGCACTGCCAGGTCCAGTGTTTCCTTCCCTCCAATGCTCCTGCTTGGCAGAGTCTCAGATACAGCCAGTTGTGTGCTTTGAACCAGCAGGCTGTGCTGCTGACTCTGAGCCAAGGAGAACAGAAGGGACAACCTGACCCTGTCCAACAGTCTGCATTTCCTATCTAGGCACAAACAGGCAACACTTCATAACCCAGTGGCGGCCCTGGACCCAGGAGGTTTGTGCAGTCATGGACAGCTACACAGGCGCCTGCCATGGACGGAAGGGAAGGCTGCACAGACACCTGCCATGGACGGAAAAAGGGAAGGCTGCACCAACAGGTCTGCCGTGGACGGAAGGGAAGGCTGCACGGACTCCTGCTGTGGACGAAAGGGAAGGCTGCCCAGAGGTCTGCCGTGGACGGAAGGGAAGGCTGCTGCGTGGACTGCCGCCGTGGACGGAAGGGAAGGCTGCTGCCCGGACTGCCGCCGTGGACGGAAGGGAAGGCTGCTGCCCGGACTGCCGCCGTGGACGGAAGGGAAGGCTGCTGCCCGGACTGCCGCCGTGGACGGAAGGGAAGGCTGCTGCGCGGACTGCCGCCGTGGACGGAAGGGAAGGCTGTACAGAGCCTTATCACCAATGGGAAGGAAAGGCTGCACGGAGGCTTGCTTGGATAGAAGGGAAGGGTGCAGATTGTCTTGGACATGAAGGGAAGGCTACACACAGAATTATCATGGATGGAAGGAAAGCTGCACAGAGGAATGTTAATGACGAGAAGGGAAGAATGCAGAGCCTTGCCATAGATGAGAAGGAAGGATGCACAGAAGCTTTTTTGATGAGAAGAAAAGGCTGCACAAAACCTTTTCATGGATGGAAGTGAATGCTGCACAGATGTCTTGTCATAGAAGGAAGGGAAGTCTTCAGAGACACTTGTCAGGGAGGAAGGGAGGGCTGCACAGTGGCTTGTTGTGTTATGAATGGGAAGGAAGACTGCACAGAGGCTTGCCATGGGTGTGAAGGGAAGTCTCCACACAAAATTCTCATTCCTGCACAGATGATGGGAAAAGAAGGCCACACAGAGGATTGTCATGGATGGAAGTGAGCACTGCACCAAGTTTTGTCATTGAGGGAAGGGAAGGCTTCAGAGAGGCTTTCTGTGCATGGAAGAAAAAGTTGTATGCAGGGTAGTCAGAGGCAGAGATAAAGGCTGCACAGAGGCCTCTCATAGAGGGAAGTGTAGTTTACAGGAGCTTGTCCTACAAGAAGGGAGGTCTGCAGAGAAGCTTATTGTGGATCAGCAGGAAAGCCGAGCACTAGAATGTCTATGAATTGAATGGAAGACTGCAATGAAAATTGTCATGGATGGAAGGGAATGCTACAGAGAGACTTTTTTTTCTTTTGAGACAAAGTCTTGCTCTATATCTCAGGCTGGAGTGCAGTGGCACGCTCTCTGCTCACTGCACACCTGCCTCCTGGGTGCAAGTGATTCTCCTGCCTCAGCCTCCCAACTAACTGGGATTACAGGCCCTCACCACCATGCCTGGCTAATTTGTGTATTTTTAGTAGAGATGAGGTTTCACCATGCTGGCCAGGTGGGTCTTGAACTCCTGACCTCAAGTGATCGCCTGCATCGGCCTCCCAAAGTGCTAGGATTACAGGCATGAGCCATTGCACCTGGCCTGCACAGGATTTTCATGGATGGGAAAGAAAGGCTGCACAGAGGAATGGCTATGATGTGAAGGAGAGGGTGTTCAGAAGCTTGTCATGGGTGGATGGGGCAGCTGCATAGAGCCATACCATTGTTGGGAAGGGAGTGATGCAGAAAGCATTGTTGTTGATGGGAAGGAAAGGTCATATGGATTCTTGTTATGGATTGAAGGTTGCATATGTCATAGATGGGAAGCAAAGGTCTCACGGAAGCTTGTCACAGATGAAATTGATATGGTTTGGCTGTTTCCCCACCTAAATCTCATCTTGAATTGTAATCCCCACGTGTCAAGGAAGGAAGGTAATTGGATTATGGGGGTGGTTCCCCCGGGCTGTTCTCATGATGGTGAGTTCTCGTGAGACCTGATGATTTTATAAGGGGCTCTTCCCGCTTTGCATCTCTGTCTCACCTGCCGCCATGTAAGATGTGCCTGCTTCCCCCTCCACTATGATTGTAAGTTTCCTGAGGCCTCACCAGCAATGCAAAACTGTAAGTCAATTAAACCTCTTTTCTTTATAAATTACCCAGTCTCAGGCAGTTATTTATAGGAGTGTGAAAACAGACTAATACAAAAAAATGAATACTGCACAGAATGTTGTCATGTAACTAAGGGAAGACTTCATGGAAGCTTTCCATGGATGGAAGGAAAAGTTGCAAAGAAGCTTCACGTGGATTGGAAGGGAGGTTGCTCAGAGGCATGTCATGAGTGGAAAGGGAAGGGTGCAGAGGTTATGGATGGAAGGGAAGGTTGTACCGAAACTTATGGATAGTGGACCAAGACCAGAGAGAAGGAAGAGGGAGGGAGGATCGCCTGGGTCTCTAGCTAGTTATGGGTTCTTCACCAAGTGCAGTGTATTCTGCCTGAGGAGAAGTGGGTATGAGACCAGGGGCCAGTCGGCCACCAGAGGTGTGAGGTCAGTTCCCTCATCCAGCTGGGGATGGGCTGGGGACACAGACCAACTTCTCAGGGCACTCAGGCTGGCGGCAGAGTTATACCAGCTCTGCGACAATGGCAGGGTGACAGGTCACAGTGTCAGGGTGCTTGAGATAGCCTGAGGTCCATGGGAGACCTAGCAGGCCGTCAGGTCTGGGTACAGTCTAACTAGGCCTGAGATCTGGCCTTGCTTTTCAAATGGTGAACTTGAGCAAGTTACTGTATCACTTGGAGACATTGTGGGTTTGTTTTTGTTTTGTTTTGTTTTAAGGAAAAACAGAGCTTCTACCTTATGTGGGCCTGCTTGGGATTAAATGAGGTAATGCTTCGCACATTGTGCAGTGAGTTGTGATTACCTAAGAATGAGTTTTTGAACTGCCTTGGTGTTTTAGAAATCTGTGGCCTGCATTATGTTCTGAAAGCATCACTGTTGCTGGAAGTAGAGAGGACCGTTGGGAGGCTATTTAATGACAGTGAAAACAAGGGCATGGGCTAGGGCTCTCCTGTAGGCTAGACTTGGGAGTGCTCTGTGGGCATGGGGGCTGGAGAAGTTGGGTGCTCTGGGTGTGCAGCTGGACCAGCTGGGTGTTGGTGCTGCCGACCCAACTGAAATTCAGGAGGAGGAGATGTTGGGATGAGGGCTAGCCACATCTGGTCCATGTGGGCCCATGGCCACCTGCTGGGCTGCATGGCAGGCAGGGGACAGCAGGTCTTGAGCTGGGCACCATGCTGGTGTGCTGAGGGGACAAGGGCAGGGGCCACAGGTGGAGCTCGCACACAGGCAGAGGCCCAGGGTCCAGCAGAAGAGAACCAGAGTAAGTGGCCAGAGAGGCAGTGAGGGCCAGGCAGGTGCCGTCAGCTGAGCAGTGAGGCTCGGCATGGGGCCCAGGGGAGTGGGGCAGGGGGAGCCCCAGGCAGCACCTCTCTAAGCAAGGAGAAGCTGCTGTGGCCTGGGACGGAGATGGAGGCAAAAGGGGGTTTCGATTTGAAAAGCTTTTCCATATTTTGAGAGATGAATGTGTTTTGGATGGAGTGCGGGGAATGGAGAAGGTCCAGGAGAGGTGGTCAGTGGGAGAGGCCCGCTCAGGCACAGGGGTTGGGAAGGAACCACATGGGGCCTCTGGACTCTGCTGTGTCTGTGGTCTCAGCCGACAGGGTGGGGGCTCTGGGAGTCAGGCAGACCTATGCGGCCTGCTTGCCAGGGACCAGGACCCATGTGCCTTGTCTGTGGCCATCACATTCTCAGGGCCATCAGGAGGCTGGATGTGGGGTCTTCTGTGGTCCTATTTACTGAATGCCAATGATTCCTTCAGGGCCACACTGCGTTACTGAGCATGTTCTGACCGGGCCGTCTTGGGCATCACCTGCCATTCTCCTGCCATCCTCTCAACAGCTCTGTGGGGTGGGGTCCTCCCCCATACCTGATGCACCGACCACACAGTGGAAAGTGACAAAGCCAGCGCCTTGCCCCAGGTTTGTCTGATCCCAGAACCTGTGTTCTTTCCACTAGACCAAGAGTCCCAGCCTCAGACATCTGCCAGCTCCTTGTTGAAGAGACACCATGATTATGCAGACTCGCTAATGCCCTAACATGCCTGAGGAGGAGGCACCACTGAGGCTGGGCGAGGTCTGAACTAGGTCTCGAATGATATCAGAGCTTACGCTGTAGAGGGAGGGACCCTTTAAGGTAAGGTCCCACCCTCCAAGCCCTACGTTGGCAGTTCCACCACCCCAGCATATCCTCAGCTCTTCTCTGCCAAGTGCCTCCAGTAACCCAGCCTTTCTGCAAGCTCACCCCACTCCAGACCCTGGCCCCACCTCGGTTTCTCACACTGATGGCTAGGTTGCTATGAGAGCTGCACTTCACAGCATGCAATTCTGTTCTTCTATGGGGCAAGCGGTGTTACTGTTCCCATTGTACCAATGAGGAACATAAGAGCCAGTGAGGTGAGCCAACTTCCTGGGCATTGTCTTTGATGCCTGTGCAAACAGACACCCCATACACCAATGCGAATGGTGTGAACCCCTTCGAAGCCACATGGACCATTAGATCTTCATTCTCCAAGGAAATGTCCTTACACAGGGGTACAGGACTTATTTCTATCCCTGGCAAGTTTGTGGCACACTTTGGATACCTTTATCTGTGCATGTGAAGAGTAGCTGTTTGCAAGACCATGTTTCTGAACATGGGAGCTGTTTTGTATGCATTGTAAACAGGGTCATGGTGTGCCAGGGCTGGGAGGGGTTCAGGGTGGATAGAGTGCACCTACTTTTGTGAATGGCTTCACCGAAGGCCTAGCCCTGCCTTGCTTCAGAGAAAGCTTTTCATTTCCAGAGCTATGCTCTCCCTGTCTTATCCCATTCAGAGCCTTTTTGTGGACAAATGGGTGAAATTTCTTCCAGTTGACATTTGCCTTCCATTCTGTCTCCTCATATTGTTCTGATAAGTCCCAGGAGAGAGAGGCTGTCATGGTCCCACGGGCGATACTGGCAAGGAGGGGATAGATTTCGCCATGGCCCAGTTTCTCCTAAACTGGGAGCCCACTGCGAGGTTTGCCCTCAAAATGCAGAGGCCCTTGTCCTGGGACCTGAAACTAAAGTAGGAGAAGCCAGTGAGGAGGGGACACAGCCAGGCTGACCATGGGGAGAGGGGCAAATGTGGCTGTGTCTTCCTGCACATCGCCATTCTGCAAAGTGTCGGCGTCTCTGTTGTGCCTCTGTAGAGGGCAGGGCTCAGCAGGTCAGCCCTCCAGCTCCATGAGGCTCAGCCACATGACTCAGGCTGGGGCCACTTAGCCTCCGCCTGTCCTGTCTATGGTACCTCTTTTCACATAGATCAGTAAGCCTCACAGAGTTACAGCTTAGGACAGCTCTGCCCTGACTAAGCCTGGGGCTTCCCCTGAGCCACTCACCATGACACACAGGTCCCCTCAGTGCCTGCTGGCCTCCACGGTGCAGCCAGGAACCAGGCTCACCAGGGCCCCATGAGGGCAGGGTGGGGTCCTGCTTCAGGGGAGTGCAGCAGAGGCTATGATGGAAGTCATGCTCTGGGGTCTCAGACTCTAGAGGGCCAGCACCGTCAGGAGGAACAGAAGACACAGCAAGAGGCTGGTATGAGGGGACAGCAGTATAGGTGACAAGAGAGAGCCCAGGGAGACTGGCAGTGCCACTGAAGGCACCCACTGCCCTGCAGATTTAACCCTGCCTGGGGAGGGGAGAGCACAGCCTTCTAAGGCTGGAGACTCAGGGAGCAGAACAGGAGGGGAGGCCTCTGCGATGGAGGCAGAGAGCCTGGCCTGTGACTTGAAAGTGCTCCTAAAACAGGTGTCAGAACACTCAGAACCAAAGCTGTATGTGCAGTCCCTGAGAACACCTGCCTGAGACGAAATGCCATGAGGCCAGCCGTCCCCCAAGGAAGAAGCAGCCTAAAAAGCCCACAACTAGACACACCCATGTCACAGTTCTTAAATACAGATGTGGAGCCGTGCTTAAGCACCTGGAGACAAATCAGGGGCTGCCCCAGACACCCCAGCTGTATTCTTGCCCCAGCCGCCTGTGCGGCAGCTGACGCAGGCCAGTGAAGCGGGTCTCCGGAGCTGGGCAGAGGACTGCACACCAGGGGCTCATCTGCCCTGCATATGTAAGAACGAGAAGTCAATGCAGATAAAACCCCCCCCACCCAGTCCTCTTCAGGAAATAAGAGGACCCTTTAAGACTTGGTGCATGCAATGCAGACTTGAGTCAGAATTGTGACCTCAATGGCTAGGATGGGGTGGAATTCAAGGACCCAGGCCAGGGCTGGGCCACCATGGCCTCCCCTGGCAGGAAGGGGAAGGCGTGCTCTCCCTTCACATCCTTTACCTTGGCGCTGGTGTGGCATGGCAGTCACAGGCGGCTGCACCCCACCCCACACTCATCCCTCCCCGTCTTTAATTTAGGGACTGTTCGTTTTGTTCATGCCCTGGGGATGGGTCTTGCTGGCCTTAGCTGAACATGGGACACTCACTGCTCATGTTAGCGATGGTGTTAGGCATGGGTATGTGACCTGGTCCTAGACAGTGAGTGGAGGAGAAACCTGGAGTGGGGTTTGAGGGGAGCATTGTCCCGCGTAGTCAGATGAGACAGCAGAGAGACCTGCTCCTCCCTGCTCCCTTTGACCTCTGCTGCAGAGAGGACTGCGCTGCATACAGTGGCCTGGGGATGACATGGACGAGAAGGGAAGACCAGACCCAGGTGGCATCACTGCTAAGTCAGCAGTGTACAGAAGTGTCCACCCGCAGACTTCCAGAGCAAGACAGCTAAATATGGGGTCCTGTTCCCAAGCTGTCGAGCATCCTGGTGCTGGTGGTTTCTAGCTGAGGAACTGTGTTCAAGTTATCGTTAGATGATAACGGCTCTGGAGACCCTGGTGGGAGAGCAACTGACCTACATATCTCTCTCTCCACGTACCTGGAGTGGAGCTGTGGCATGTGTGACAGTGATCCTTTCTATTGCTAAGAAACTTGAGGAATGGCTTTCTACATTTTTACAGCTCTTTTTGGTGCCCTCAGCCGTGAGTGGTGTTCAATTTGGAAAGGCTGTTAAGTGTTACAGTGGGTCCGTCTACAGCTGGGAAGGGTCCTGGCCTAAAACCCACTTAAGAAAACAAATGAGCAGCAACAGTACATCCAAAGCCATGTAAATAAATATGTCCCGCTCCTCCACTGTCCAGCTGCATGGCCTTAATTCTCTGAGCCTCAGTTTCCTCATTTGTGTGAACAGCATGATGAACGATAGTGTCTGCTACCAGAGCTGTAAGGAGCAGCACTGAGCACGCCCAGCAGCCGGAGGACAGCACCTGGCTGGCAGGGAGTGCACGAATGTGCTGTTGTGTGTGTCAGTGTGCGCACGAGAGAGAGAGAGAGAGAGAGAGAGAGAAATCTGGAAGGAGACCAACCAATCCAAAATTACGCTCAGGAGGCTGGGCCAGTGACTGACTTTAGTTTATCTATATTTGCTCTTTTTTTCCACAACTTTAGAAAGTGAACTTACTCACTTTTGTGGGTTCTAAAACTACTTTGAAAAAGAAAGAAAAAAATAGTAAATTACCCCCAAAATATTATAATGGTTACCTCTAAGAAGTAAAAAGAACATTTTTCATTTCTTTAGACATTTCTGTAGATTTCATTTTCCTTATTGCACGCATATTAGTTTTAAATCAGGAAAAAAAATAAGTCACATGGTTATAGTCACGGGTAAACCACAGGCACAGGAAAGCCCAGGAAAGCAGCTGACGGCTATCCTGGGCACAGTGGGGCGGGCTGTCTCAGGCATAAAGGGATGGCTATCCTGGGCACAGCGGGGCGGGTTGTCCTGGAGGCGGGCTGCACCATCCTCATGGGGGCCCTCCAGTGGGGCTTTCCTGTCTCCTGAGTGTACACAGGCCCCAGTGAAGGAGCCCGGTGTGGAGCCCCATACCACAGCATGTTTCAGTGTCTGCTATATTGTGAGCCTAAGCCACCCACCACAGGGCTTGACCCTGCGACCGTCCTCTCATTTCTAGAACGGGAAAGCACAGTGCTTCTCCTTGAGGGTTAAAAGGATGCTGCTGGGTGTCAGGGACTTAGCCTAGCGCCTGGGAGGTAGGTGGAGTGAATGTGAGTTGTTTCTCTCCCCTGCCTGCTGGCACCTGAGCCCCAGGCCTGCCTGCTCTTGTCTTCTGCAGGCCCCGCAGGGTGGAGCCCGTCTGCTCAGGGTTGCAGGCCCAGATTCTCCACTGCTACCGAGATCGCCCGCATGAGGTGCTGCTGTGCTCGGACCTGGTCAAGGCATACCAGCGCTGCGTGAGCGCCGCCCACAAGGTAAGGCCTTGCCTGCCTCCCAGGTTTCCAAGGGCCTTGGGAGGTAGGCGAGGTACCTCTATCTAGCATTGGAGATCTCTGCCTGCCTTTTCCTGTTAGAATCAGATGCTCCACTTGGAGGTCTCTGCATTTGCCAAGGGAGGGATTCTTCGCTTTCCTCAGTCACCTGCACACTCTCCTGGCTGCTTCCAGGAGCGCCTTGGACATCTGGCCCCAGGGAGATGATCCCTGTTGCGTTTGCCCTATTAGGCTGGGTGGGAGCAGGCTGGGTAAAGTCAGGCCCCACCTTCAAGGGCCGGGCCCCTTGTGGGTGCCGGGGACTTCTTAGCCCTCGGCACTTAGGGGTGGGAGGGTGGCAGAGGCCCGAGTGCAGAGTGGGGGTCCCAGCAAGGATAGGCCATCTGGAAGAGGAGTGGGAGCAGATGTGGCCATCAGAAGCTGCTCACAGCCACCCTGCCCTGAGCTGGTCTACAGGGGTGTGCTGGCTTGGCCTTCCTGGTGAGTGGTCCCAAGCCTCATGTGCTCTCTGGTCACCTCCCACTCCAGTGGGCCTCGGTTGTCCTGGATGCCTGTGATGCGCTCCCAGCCAGCTCCTACTGCCTTCCTCCCCCACCCCCAACTGCTGCTCTCTATCCTAGATAAGTCCTCCCCCTTCCCAGGTCCCGTAGCGTCCTCTGGTGCAGTCAGGCTGTTCCCAGCCATACCTCACCCTTGCCCCACCCCAACAGGACAGCTCCCACCTTGGGGAGCATCATTCACTCTCAGAACACCTAGTTTGGGCTCCCCAAGGAGTGCGGCCTGTTTGTGAAAATGTATGGGAGAAACAACAGGACGAGGTCTCCTTTCCCACGTAAAAGCCTCTTTGGCCTGAGTAGGAGACAGGCTGCTTTAGGTACTTGGGATGGAAAAGGCTGAGGCCAGATGCTCTGTGCTCTCCAGCCATGTCCAAGGGGAGATCTGTCCCACTGAACTGAGCGGGGTCCTGCAGCCCCAGGCCTGCAAGAGCTTCCTTGGGTCATGCCCTGCTCACACCCATCTGCCAAGGCTGATTGTTCCACTCTTTGCTGGTCACAGCCCCGTCCAGCACCGACTGTCCCTTCATGGCCAGAACACAGCCCAGAAGTAGCTCCACACAGGATGAGTGGTCGCAAGGCCTCTGTCAGCCTTCCAAGAGAGGGAAGCCCTGGGTAGGACAGGCGGCCTCCTCCTCCATCTCAGAGGATGGAAGGCTGCTCACTCTGCTTCCACGTGGGCAGGAGGCGCTGGGGCACTGGGTAGGCTGGGCCAGACCAGGGCCCTTCGCACCGACCAGACACTTAGCTCCCTACTCACCAGCAAAGTGAAGCCTCCAGATCCTCCACACACCCAATCAAGGGCAGCTCCGAGTCTCTGTTCATCACACACCTAACTCTTTACCGAGGGATCTGCTGCAGCCTCTTGGCTTCCTGGCAGGGCCTACGCCTCAGTGGCCAGCCCTAGACTCCATCCTCTCTCCATCCAGCCCCACCTCTGTGGTAGTTTTCAGCCCCTACCCACCACCCCTAAGAGTATTTCTTTAACAAACACACCTCACCAATATATCTTCCTCGCACCAAGGCAAAAATGTGATTACCAAGGAAGACAGATCACATTAAACCCCAGTGTATTCCCTGAGAGAGGCTCTGGGACACTGCCAGGTCTGGCTCCCTCCTTCCCGGCCCCTACCCCTGACATGACTAGCAAAGAAACCAGAGACTGAGCAATGGCAGTGCCAGAGGCCTGCCTGCTCTCCCCACGTGCTGCCTTGGCAGTGTGTGTGCATTTGGAGACGGCATATTCAACCTGACTCCCTCGGAGCCCCAGCACCCAGGCACTTGGGTGGTGCCCTGTGTGTGAGATGTGGCAAGTGCTGGAGAAACTCTCACCACCCTTCGCCAGCCTTCGCCTCAGAAGGCTGCTGGCAGAACCAGAGAGCGGGGAGTGAAGGGTCCCTAAGAGGGATTTGCTTATGCAAGGGGCCAAACAGCAGGGGACAGAGGCCCACATGGTCAAGGGCCTTGGGGTGGGGCAGCACTGCTTCTCTCTCCAGGATCTAACATCTGCCCTGGGGCTCCTAGGGCAGGTAGGTGATGCCTAGGCCCAGAGCCTGGCACCTGCCTGTGTGCAGATGTGCTGGGCATCTCAGATGAGGACAGGGGCCTCAGGCTGTCCACCACAGGACCCTGACTGTGCGGACCCCAGCATCCCAGCAGGCTCCTGCTGAGCTGTGAAAAATCAGAGAACAGAGGGGAGGCCTTGATGAGGCAGAGCAGAGTTGGGTTAGACTCTTCTATATCCAGGGTGCTTGTCAGAAACACCGCAGCAGGTTGAGGGGGCAGGGGCAGGGGACCTGCCTTCTGAGCCAGCCCTGGGAGAGTAAAGGAAAGGGGAGCGGGTTCTGGTGTCACTGTCGTGTGGAGTGAGGGCCCGTCCCCTGTTGCTGGGGACTGTGCTGGGCTCCGGGGTACAGAGGTGAAGAGACTCACTGATGGGTCTCCAGGTGAGGAGGGAGACCAACTCACAGCTGCTCCCTGGGAAGCGGTTGCTGTCACAGGGCGATCTGCACGGAGCTGGAGGGCATGGGCGGAGTGGGCCCTGACTCAACTCTGACCTGTTCTCTTTGTAGGGCTGAGGAGCAGACATCATTCCCTGCCCTGGCAGTGACTTGGAGCCCTGAAGAAGGGACCAATCATGGGACCACAGCCACTGTGCCCTGCCGTTTCCTGCTGGGCCCCTGCATATGCCCCTGAGCCTGGGGCTGCCACGTGTTTAGGAAACAAAGTATGCGCTACTGTCTGAAAACAAATAAAGCAGATGCCTTTGTTTTCAGTCGTTGACTCACTGGCAAACAGTCACTGCTGCCTACTCTGCGTCCAGCCCTCTGCTGGACACCAGCGAAGTGGAGCTGAGGAAGATGGGCTGCTCCCCTCGGGGAGTCCCTGGCCTGGCAGGGGAGATGGCCTGAGAACCCCTAATTACATTGCAGCAGCAGCAGCAGCAGCAGCAGGCTGCCGCGGAAACAGGGAGGAGAAGGAAAGGGAGCAGGCCTTTCTAGGGATGGCACAGAGGGAGAGCAGGCCAGCTTCCTGCAGCGAGTGCTGCCTGCGCCCGGGGCGGAAGCTGACCAGACGAGGGCAGGGCGGGCCGGAGACCCAGCAGAGGGGATCCCAGGTGTGAGGGCAGCAGGCAGTGGAGGAGAGCAAAGGTGGTCAAGGCAGGCAGGCGGCGCGGCTGCAGAGGCGGCAGGACTGCAGTGCAGCAGGCTGAGTTGGCACTGTCTCTGAGTGATGTTGCTCCGGCTGTCAGGTGGTGCCAGGGAGACAGGACTCGATGCCAGGGAACATCACCAGTGTGGAGGGCCCCGCACAGCTCAAGCCCAGGGCGGGTTAGTGGGGCTGATTGGCAGGACTGAAACCGACTGAGCGACAGAAGAGGCCAGGTGACTTTGAAGTCTCTGACTTGGGTGTTGGGGGTTCTAAAATAAGGAATGCAGGGATTGAGGAGGGCAGATGACAAAGTGGGTTTGGGACATGCTCTGCCTGGTTGGTGTCCAAACACTGGACTTCCAGTCCTTGTCCTTTAGCCACGTCCTCCAGCCAAGGTGCCCTGACCACACTCAGCCTGTACCACGCCAGCAGGAGGATTTTGGGTTGGAGCCTGGGATCCTCTAACTGCTCTGCCGGTGACCTTGGGTTTCCTGATAGAGCCCTTGGGGAGTCCCCATGCCATCTGGAGCTGAAAGCCTGCAGCCTTGACTCAGGCTTGGCAGCACAAACTTCCCTTCTCAGATTCTCACACTCAGAGCTCAAGGGGTGGGTTGGGGCTTGGGCGTGTCCTACTGGCTGGGCGGGTAGTATACTAGCAGCCAGACAGACAGCTTTGGGAGACTCCCTTTCTAGGAGTCCCGGGTCAGCCTGTGGAAATGCACAAGGAGACTCCATGTGGTGTGATGCGGCGAGGAGGGGTGGGGTGCACTGGGCACCCTGGCCTGAGCCCTTCAGGGAGGGGCCTACTAAGAGGAGGGGTGAGGGGTCACAGGTCAGGCCTATCCACCATGCTGTTCTGACTCCCTCAGAAGCATTTGGCTTCCAGGGCTTTGTCCAACTTCAGATCTCACAGGAATAACTTTCAGCTGTTCATCCTCTCCTCCAGGTGTCACTTTTGGGGGTTGGGGACGCATCCTGGGGTGGGAAACAGACTCCCAGGTACACAGACACCTGTGGGCTGGATGCTGTCTGAGCCTGTACCAGCTGGCTCTGTCTGGGTAACAAACCACCCCCAGACCTCGTAGCTTAAAACAACGCCCATTTTATGTGGCTCATGATTCTGCTGGGTGGAGCCTACGGCCCAGGCCCACTCATGTCAGCCAACAGACCTGTGACCTCAAATGGCCTCCTGTGTCCAGCGGCCAGCGGCCCCATGGTTTCTTCCAAATGGCCCCTCCTTCTCCAGGCTAGCTCAGGTTCCAGTTTCAGGCTCCAGCACAGCCAGAGAGCCAGCTTCCAGGGGCAAGCACTTCCTGATCCTCTGCCTGCAACCCCTGGTTCCTTCATTCCCTGGTAGCCAGTCTGGTCAGATTGCAGTTGGCCTGAGAGGAGTGAAAAGACCTCTTTGGCCTCTGAGCTCCACAAAGCCACCTCCTGCTTTGGGAATGAGGCCAGAACGAGGTCGGCAGTGGCAGTGGCGGGTAGCAGCAACAGCCCTTTCCTGCCTGGGCAGGGCCTGTGCAAAGAAGCATCCAGAGACAGAGGCTGGTAGAGCAGCCTCATGAGATGGCACCGTTGCCCGCACGTCACTGCATGATTGACTCAGACCAGGAGCTGATGAAGGTTTGAAGGCCAAAGAGCAGAGCTGGGAAGCAAGGCCACAGGTGTGGGAGGTGCAGGGCAGGGGCCATAAGGCTCTGTAGGGGCTCATGCAGAATCCAGGGCCCTTCCTTGAGGTCCCCCACTGCCTCTGGCTGGCCAGGTCTGCCTACCCCTCTCCCTCCTCCCCATAGTGTCCTTAGCCCTGGGCCTCCCACACCCCCAAATCCACACATCTGTCCCCAGATCTTGCTGGATTTTCATAAACTTCCACTTGGTCCTGAAAATAAGACTCACGCCTGACCCTGACCAGTCTGTCCACTTCCCACCTCCATGTCTGGCTCATGGCCCGCGCCTGAGGCTCTAGCCTCCTCCTCTTCCAGGCTCTGTGCGGGAGCTTCTGGTCTCCTTCCACATTACTCAAGGGTTAAGCCCTGTGTGAGTCCTCGCAGCCCTCCTCCTGGGTGCCCACCCAGCCCCGACACAGGCCTCCAACCCAAAGGCAACACAGTGTGTGCACAGCCTGCCAGCTTCTCAAGACCAGCCTGACGTGGGCTCCCATTAGCCACCCCTGTGGTCCCTGGTATAGGCAGGTAGGGAGTCGTTTGGGGACCAGGACTAGTGAATGAATGAGATGTAAGGACCATTACCAGCTTCTTCAGCATTTCCGGGCCTGCTGGCATCTCCCTGGAGTCCGGGTCTTGGCACCTCCTGTAGTGGGTTCAGGCAGGAAGGGAGCCCGGTGCACACAGGAAAATCCACAGGCTCTGCAGGCCTGGGGGCCTCAGTTTAAATCCTGACTCTGCCTCCTGTTGGTTGCCAAGAAAGGCCAGCAATTCCCTTAGGCCTGAGCCTCAGTTTCCTCATTACAGAACAACTAAAGCAGTGTCTAAGATTTATAGGGAACACCTGTGGCCCACTCTGCATCCACCCGTCTTCTTTTAGAAATAGCTTTTCAAGTTTTCTGAAGAACCACTCTCCCCAACTCTATCAACGATTCCTGTTCCCCCCTTCCCACCACCTTCACCTCCACACAGGGAGAGGGTTCTAGAGAGCAGAGCCAGCAGAGGCACACAGCCAAGGGATGGAGAGACTGTGCAAGGTCATTGAGCACCTGGATCCAGCCAGACCTGAAGTTAACATGAGCTAGCAAGTTTCCCTTTTTGTTTGAACTGGGTTTTTGTCATTTGCAACAGGACTTCTCTGTGAGAGAGCGTTGTTCTGGGAAGCAAATGATCTGCTGTCAGCGCCTGGCTTCCCTTTCCTTTGAGCCAAGTTGAGGTGGCAGGTTTGACTCTTCCCAGCCTGGGGAGGGGAGCACTGGCTTACACTGACTCTCCCCTCAGGGCAGCTTCAGAAGCTATCCCAGGCCCAGCTACAGACTCTGCCATAGGGACCACAGGGCAAGACTCAGGAATGGACTTTGTAACTGGAGAGGAGCAGACAGACGTGCTAGTGGCAAAGTCTGAGGCACTGATAGGGAGGTGGGGGAAGCGTTTTGGGATTTCTTCAACCAGACCAGTTGGAAGTGAGGCACCCACACACACCTCACCTGGTGAGCTCCTATCCATCCTTAGGGTCCCAGCTCCGACTTCCACCCCTCTGTGCCCCCACCCACAGCTACACACCTTTAGGTAGAGGCTGGAGGCTCCTGTGAGTGAGTCCCTACAGTCTTCACCTGAGGGGCTGGAGGCCAGGCCTGGGGGGCTCCAGTGGATGGGGCTCTACTCCCCAAACTCCAGCACCCCTGAAGGACCAGGGCATGTTCAACCATTTCTATCCACTTCTTTCTCCCTCATTGTTTTCTGGGGGCTTTGGATTGGGATGAGGGAACGAGCTCCTGACAGTGCACATGACATTGTGCATTCCTCTCCTTGGGTCTCGGTGTCCACCATGCAGGATGACTGTGCGAATGTGTGTGCATTCATGTGAACTGTGTGTCCAAGTACGCAAGTGTGTGTGTATGGGTCTGTGTGCACATGTCCATCCTGCGTGTGTATCCATGTGTGTGCACACGTGAGTGCATGGTGTGCCAGCACACATGTGCAAGCATGTGCATAGGTATGTGTGTGTGTACCTGTCCATTCACATGTGTTCATGTCTGTGCATGTGTACTTGAGTTTGTGCACAAGCAGCCAGCCATGCTCGGCACCTGCGGATCCTCACGGGCTCTTCCCAGCCTGGATATCATCTCATTTCTCCACTTTCTCAGAGCCAGATCTTTGCCCCTCCCCTGCTGGAGACTGTGTGTGTGCTGGAGCCATCTGTAACACTGCATTGGAATGTGAATGTGTGTGTGCTCTCATGTGTACCTACACCTCAGTACCTCCACGTGTGTGGTAGGAGGTCAGGTCTGAGAGAGAAATGCACAGGTGAGGGGTGTGTCCAGCAGGGTGTGCACCTGGAGGCGGGTGCTGCAGGCTCATGCCCTGGCTGAGTGACCCTTAAGCAGGAGTATTAATACTCATCCCACCAGTTGCTTGGTGATGACATTGGTTGTATCATTCAGGGTCCAACCAGGAAAACAGCACCCTTGCTTTTGAGCAGGGGGAGTTGAATGCAAGGGATTGGTCACAAAGGAGATGGAGGAACTGAAAACCCAGATGGGATAGTGTGAGAGGTAACTCAGATCAGCAGCCATAGGACCTCCCGCCACCTGGGGCTGCAGAGACAGAGGGAAGAGGCAAGATCACCCAATGGAAGCTGGCACCGCAGGGGCCCTGCACAGGGAAGCTGGGGCCTCTGAGGAGACACAGCAGCTGTTGAGAGAGCTACCCGTGGCAGAGGAGGTGGAAATTCCCTGGCTTCGCTCTGCCCTTAGCCGTAGTTAGTGCCTCCCATGGCGGGAAGCTGGAACCGAGGCAGCTAGGAGCTGCTGCCGGCCACCCCCTGTGGTAAAGGAGTGGGTCTGAGAAAAAGGCCCAGGAAGGCGCATTAGTGGGACCGTGTGGGCTGTGTTGAGTGTGTGTGTGCCTGCATGTGTGCCTATGCTCGGGTGGGCATGTAAGATGTAGCTGGAATGGCAGGTGTGTGCATGTACCTGTGCACCTTTATTCCTTGTGTCGACAGGACAGCCTGCAGAGAATAGTGCTGATAATCAAACTGAGCATGTATCAGACCTTTACCATGTGCCAGGTACTGTGCTGAGCCCTTTATAAATACCTACTTGGTAAAGATTTCACACAACCTTGTGAAGTAGATACTGCTGTTATCCTCATTTTATAAGTGGGGAAACTGTGGCACAGCGTGTGAGTGATTTGCCGAAGATCATGCAGTCTAAGAGCTAGGGCTGGGCTTGGAGCTGCCTGGCTCCAGAGTCCTGTGCCCAGTAACAAACTGTGCCTGCTGTTGGAGTCAGGGCCCTGGCTGTGTGCCGGGCGGGGCTCTGACACCCAGAGTCTTACTCCGCTCAGCTCCAGGGACTCAGCTGAGGGGCCAGTCCATTCCCCTCGCCTCTCCAGATGGGGAAGGTGGCCCCTGGCAGAAATGGCTGAAGTTTGTTCCTTCCCACATCATTACTGGCCTGGGGAAGTCCAGTGACCCCAGGCGGGGATCTAAGCCAGGCATCACCAGCAAGGTGGCTGTGAGCCCTGGAACAACAGCCCAGGTGAGGTGGGAGAAACTGGTCCTGCCTCAGCCTCTCACTGCCACCTCACCCTCCCGTGGCACTGCCACCCCCAAAGGTGCAGATGTGGCCACGGATGCCTAGAGTCAGGTGGCTAGGAGGGGAGTGGGAGCACCCAGGAAGGTGCCAAGTGGTCACCGTGGTGCTGCCACAGGAGATGAATCACTGAGACCTTCTGGGAGGACTCATTGGGTGAAAAGCATCGAAGCCTTTCAGAGTGTGCAAACTCACAAAAACAAGCAAAACAAACCCCACAACATTCCTCTGTTTGCTATTTACAAGAGACATCACCTTAATTATGAGAGCACAAGTTGATTGACAAGAAAGGAATAGAAAAAGATAGTCCTGCAAACTGTAAGAAAGCTGAAATGGTTGTATTAGTATCAGACTGAGCAGACTGAGACAGGAAGCATTATAGGCAACAAAGGGGGGGCATTTTGAATAACAGAAGGGACAGCTCACAGGAAGACTTAGAACCCCGAAATAAAACATGCGTGCACCTAACACAGAGCTTCAAAATACAGGAAGCCAAACTGGCAGAATGGAAAAAGCAATAGCCCAATCCGGAATCATCACTGGAGATTTGGGAATGTGCACACCGTTTGCATAGCAATTCTAGTTCTAAGAACGAATCCTAAGGAAGGAAGCATGTGTGCAGGTCCTGTGTCCTGGGCGCTCGTCCTGATGTCTGCTCACTGCCTCCTCCCTTTGTTCACACATAGCCCTGGAGCGCCCACCCTGGAGCCGGAGCATCCAAGCCTTGAGCCACTCCTGAACATCTAAGTCTGTTTTCTCATGTGTAAAGTGGGGACAGGCATAGGCACCGTCCCCTTAGGGAGCTGAACGCTCATGGAGTTGGGAACACAGGCAGGGCAAGTCTGCCCCCCAGGAAGGCCTTGGCTGCTGAGAGCCACTTCACCAACAGTACGCCCTGGGGGCCAGGGGCTTCATCCCTTGCCTGGTGATGGGGTGGGGTATAAAGGGTGTCTTCACTGGGAGTGACTTGGAAGCGGATCCCAACTCAGGAGCTAGCCCAGCCCACCCTCTGCCCACTGCCCCCTCCCTCACCACATGGGTGTGGACCCCGGTACCTCCTGAGAACTGCCCTGCAGGTTTATCTCTGAGTCAGCTGCTCAAGGGACACAGAGAACTAACATTACGCTCTCCCCATTCTATCCCAGGTGCCCTCCAAGCAGTAATGATACCAGTCCATTTCCTCATGGGCTTAGGATCTAGCAGGAAAGGTGACATTTGCCATCAATTGTGGTGAGGCCCCCAAGCTCAGGGCCTTAGGGCTTGGCCTAGGTCAGTGGTCCCCAGCCTTTCTGGCACAAGAGGCCAGTTTTGTAGAAGACAAATTTTGCATGGATGGGGTCGAGGCAGTGGGGAATGGTTTCAGAATGAAACCGTTTTCCCTCAGGTCACTGGGCATGAGCTAGATTCTCATAAGGAGTATGCAACCTAGATCCCTCGCATGTGCAGTTTACAATAGGGTTTGCACTCCTATGAGAATCTGATGCTGCCTCTGATCTGACAGGAGGCGGAGCTCAGGGAATGCTCGCCGCCCACCGCCCCCGTTCCTAACAGATCAGGGACTGGTACTGGTCCACAGCCCGGGAGTTGAGAACCCCTGGCCCAGGTGATGCGAAGTTAGAGGGCTGAGCTGGTGCTAGCCAGGTGAAGGAGCTGCTTTGTTCATGCTTTTTTCAGGGGGTGGGGGTTCTTTTGTTGTTTAGAGACAGTATCTCACTCTGTCATCCAGGCTGGAGTGCAGTGGCTCGATCCTAGCTCTCTGCAGCCTTGACCCCATGGGCTTAAGCGATCCTCTTGTCTCATCCTTCCAAGTAGCTGGGACTACAAGTGTGTGCCACTAGTGTTTATAATAGTGTCAAAATATTGGAAACAACCTAAATGCCCAACAATAGGGGATGAAATAAAATGTGGTACCTCCATAAGACAGCTCTAAAGCCTCTAAGAATAGGGATACTGAGTGTATTCACGTGGCACTTTCTCCACTCCATTTAAAGAAGTAGCATGCACTGTACAAACCCATTCTTTAAATGAAAAAAATCTTACCTATGCATATGTAAAAATATATAGATGCCCAGAGAAAAAGGTCAACAGCATTAGACATTAAAATGTTATCGCGCTTTTCTCTGGGGATAGGATTATGGATGTTTTGGTTTTTGTTTTATAATTGACTGTATTTTCTGTTTTTCTAAGTTAATCTGAATTTTGTTTATTACCCCCAGGCTAGAAGCCTCCTGAATGTAGATGTTGGACATGGTCTTCCACAGTCTGGGCCTGTCGGGTCGTGGCCAGGCCGGGGTCCGCTCTTCCGACACATCTGGGGTCTTCAGTGGGTGCTACCTGGGCCCAGCTGTTCAGCCCCCAGGCCAAGCCTGGATCTCCTTGAGTATTTTGCTTTCCCTGCCTGCCAAGCAGAGAGAGGCAAGGGCATAAACCCTGCGGAGGAGGAGAAGGGGGAGGAGGGACAAGGCAGGAGGCGACTGTGTGCCAGAGGGAGGCCCATAAAGCCATGGGAGTGGCAGCCGCAAGAGGGGTCTCCGTTGTTTATTCACCCTTTGTGTTTCATCTACTGAAGATGGAGCATGAGCAACACGAGGGAAAAGCCCTGTCCTCTGAGCTTAGAGATCAGTGGGGGAGACAGACTAGATCAAAAACAGGTTCTATAGGGTGGTACACAATGCAGAAAAAGCAGAGGGGATGGGACAGCCCGAAGCAGGCTGGGACAGGGGCTGCGGTTCCCTGCACGCCTCCTCTCCCAGGAGAGACACCCACACACAGGCGAGCCACCTCATTGCCCTGGCCCTGGGACCAGCACCGCCCAAACCGGGTTCTCTATAAGGAAAAACACTTCCCCCTCATATGTGATAACCTGCCTCATTAAATTTAATGGGCTGGTTATTCCCGTTAAATAAACATCAACTAATTATGAAAAACATATTTGCCGAAGTTTGACTATGAAATGGACGAGCCAATTACATGGTTATTCAGCCTCAAAACACACTCAGTAATGAAGTGGGGTGCAGACTAGCAGTGGGTGGGATGGGGGAGTGCCTGGAAGGCAGAGATCCCCTCTACCCTTTCCCATGCTGCAGAGCTTGGGGGGCCTCCAAATGTCAGCTTGCTGGACAGAGGCTCGGTGTCGGTCACCCCCTCCCGCACACGTGACAGAACCCTCGCTGAAACTGACTACCGCAAAGAATGTGTGGGCTTCAAAAGTCCAGGAGTGAGCTTCAGGCCAGCTGCATCTAGAGGCTTAACCACAGTTACTGGGACCTGGGCTTTCTCCTTCCAGCCCAGCTCTTTCTGTCCCCATTGTTTTGTTCCCAGCTTTCCATGGGTCCAAGCTCTGGTGTAGCTTAGCAAGGTCCTCTGCTGAGGGGCTCACCAGGCCAAGATGAGGTGAGGCACCCCGTGTGTCTCCGTGAGAGTCTCCAGCAATGCTCACCTTACAAGGTGAATTTCTCTTTCCCTGAACTTCCAGCTCAGGGTTAAAGGTCAGATAAAAAAAAAAAAAAACCCTAGCACTAACAAAGTAATATTAGAAAATCCTCCAGGGAGACCAGTAAGCATAAGAAAAAAACTATTCCACATCATCACGACTAACCAGGGAGATGCAAACTGAAACCACCAGGAAGTGCTTCTACATCCAAGCAATGGCTGAGGTGAAAGGACAGGCAATACCCAGCGTCAGTGAGAAGGAGCAACCCCCGGGGGCTCACTGCTGCTGTGAGGAGTATGAAAGGATGACAGTTGCTTCGGAAAATGGCTTGCCAGTTCCTTACAAAGTTAAACATTCGCCTACACTGCGATGCAGCAATCTTACTCCTGAGTTAATACCCAAGAGAATGAATATGTATGTCCTCTAAATAGTACGCACAAGAATGTTCATAGAGCCTTACTCATCACAGCCACAAGGTTAAAATAACCCAAGTGCCCATGGAAAGTAGAATGGTTAAGTTGTAGTTTATTCACACGATGAAATACTACAGCATCACGAAAAAGAACACACTCGAGCTCCCTGTAGCAACATGGATGGATCTCTCAGACACCTCGCGGTGAGAGACAGAGGCAGATACAGAAAAATTCACGGTTGTATTAGCTTTCTGCTGCCTCCTAACTAATGACCACAAACAGTCACTTGCAGCAATATATGTCTGTCCCCTGCTTTCCGTGGGTCAGAGCTCTGGTGTGGTGCAGCGAGGTCCAAGACTGCCCTCCAGATGTGGCTAGCCTGGGTTCCTCTCTGCAGCTCAGGCTCCTCATTCAAGCTCACCTGGATATTGGCAGAATTCATTATCTTGCTGGAGGATCGATGGGCTGTCTTTTTGCTATCAGCTCAGCTAGAGGCCACCAGTCGTCCCCTGCCTGGAGACTTGCTCACAGACTCTCCATTGCCAGCAAAGAGATCCCTTGTATGTGTAACATAATCATGAGAGGGACATGCCTTCACATTTGCCCAATCTATTGCTTGGAAGCAAGTCACACACTTAAGGTGGGGGGGATTATAGAGATCTGACTCATGGGAGACCTGGAGTATGTCTGCCATGGTACTGGATGGGTCTGTTTATATGAAGTTCAAAGATAGGCAAAACTAACCTATGGTGAAGGAGTCTGGATAGGGGTTCTCTGGGGGGCGAGGGGTGGGGTCAGAAGGAACCTTTGTTTTGTGGAGATTACACATGTATTTGTGTAGAAGTGTAAAGATGCATTCATTGAGCTGTGTGCCTAAGGATTGGGGACTGCATTGTATGTGAAGGAAATAAGAAGGAGAGAGGGAGAAGGGAAAGGAAAAAGGAAGGAAAGAAGGGAGGAGAGAGAGATCTATCTAAAAGCAGCTCTTAGTTTGTATGTTTTTTTGCAGAGAGGCAGGATGTCCCTCTGTATCTGCACGTTGGACACAGTGTATACGTCTCTTCATGGACACAGGAGACACCCATATCAGTTTTTGCTCTGGTGAGCTGGGGGCAGGTGCTGGAGGGAGGCCGACTTCATTGTATCCTTTTATGCATTTCTTGGATTTTTTTTTTACAACGAGCATATATTTTAATAATTAAAACATCTTAAAAAAAAAAAAAGGCCAGACAACTCAAAGGGTAAAGTGTACTTGGGGCGGCGGTGGCTGTGATATCAGAGCAATTGTCCCCACACCATCCCCACCTTATAGTGTGAAGTTGAGAGGTGAGTGCAGCTGTAAGTTGGGGAGACTGCTAGCATCTGTTCCAGGTTGGGGAAAGTCTCTTGTATTTTCCTCCTAGTGGCTGCAGCAAAGGGTCAGGTAGGGACACCACACCTGGGAATGCACACAGAGGAAGGTGAAACCAAGAAATAGATGCCTGGTGACATTATGGGAGTCCCCGGATTCAGCCCTGCCTGAAGCCAGACAGGGAAGCACATTGATGAATGTCCCTTGGGATGAAGCAAAGCCGGGTTTCAGCCAGCTTCCTCCGGTGCTGTCCTGCCCATGGTTTATGTCCGGTGTCTACTCTGACTGGCTGTTAAACATATACATATTTTTCAGTTTTTAAAGATGGAGTCACACTGTGTTGTCCAGGCTGGAGTCAACCTCCTGAATTCAAGTGATCCTCCCCCCTCAGCCTCCCAAGTAGCTGGGACTGCAGTCGCATGCCACTGCACCTAGCTTTGGCTGTTAAATGTTTAAATGTTTAAATATTTTAAACATTTTGGTGTTTATTCCTTGAGCCCAAAAAGCTCTGCCATCTGGATGGGGTCTCCAGGCCATGGGGCTTGGAGCTAGGTGCTGTGTGTTCAGGTCCAGCTCCTCCCTTCGCTGCCCTGCTGCCCCCTCCTCAGTGGGCCTGCGTCCCTGGGGCTGGTACCTGGCACACCACGTGCCCAGGAAGGGTGGGCAACTCGGTTGGCCTGGGCTTCTGAGGGCACAGGAGAGCTGGGCTGGTTCTGCCTGCGCATTTTCTGTGGAATGCAGACCATGCTGGCAACACCAGGGCCTCGGGACACCTCTGCTTCTGACGCAGGCCCAGGACAAGGGGTGATGCCCTGTGGTGAGCTGCAGCTGCTCCCAACCCAGGCCGGGTGGGCGGGTGCTTCAAGGCAGGCTTCCCAGAAGAGGAGGAGCCTGTGCGGGGGCTGGAGGAAGGTCAGCAGGGTGACCTCAGGGGAAATAAGTTGTTCCCTCTGTCTCCAGAACAGAGGAGCAGAACAAGCATCATGTGCAAAGCTCGTGGTGAACCGGGGAAAGCACAAAGCACCCCCGTGATGGAGGGTGGGGGTAGGGTAGGAAGAGAGGCTGGCAGGGGGAGGGCGACTCTCTGCTTCCTCCGGGGGCCTCTGTGGCTCCGTCTGTGGCTGTCCAGAGCAGTTGCCAAGTATGCCCCTGGGGCCTGTCACTTCTTCATGCCTTGGTTTCCTCATCCATGTAAAGGGGGCAGTCGTGGCCCCTCCCCACCCACCCGGTGGTCAAGATGCCTTGGGGAACCTGGCATAGGGCCGGCCCTTCAAATTTCTTTGCTCTGGTCCTCACAGAGACCCCAGGGCCACGTGATTTGTGGTGTGGTCCCGAAAAGGCACTGAGGGATGGTGTCGGGAGGGGACCCCATGTTGCTGCCTTCAAACCCTGTGCTCCTTCAGATGAGCCCCCAGCTGCCATGGTGGCATTCCCCGCTGGGCCAGGGTTGCTCCATAGGGCTGAGGCAGAGTATGGCATGGCGGTTAGAAGAGATCCCCAAACTCCCACCCTCCCTTTCCAGCTCCACTCCCACCCATGCACCAACCCATCAATAGTGCAGGCTGCTGCAAAGAGGCATGCATGGGGCTGGGGGTGGGTAGGGGGCTCCCAGCAGGCTCTCCATGGCTGGGGCTGGAATCCAAGGCTAGCAGCTCAGGCCCCTGGAGGCAGCCTGCTGCTGGTCAGGTGGCAGATTGTGTTTTCCAAAGACTGCCTCCCCTGCACATCCGTCCTGCAGGGCTTTGCAATGCACAGTGGGCCTGTCACCCCTGCCAGAAGAGGGGGCTGTGCTCTGTTCCCTGGAGAGCCATGGGGCTTGTCACCAATCTGCCTGATGCAGCGTAGCCCAGCGGTGGTGCCCTCCAGGCTTCTGAGCCCCAAACCCCCGCTTCTCCTCCTCTGTACTTCCTCTCCCTGCCCCCCTGGATGGGAGCTGTGCATGGACACATAAGAAGGTCGGCTGCCCTGAAGCCACCATGCTGGAGAGGCTGTGGAAAGGCCCCACAGAGCTAGACAGAGCTGCCAAAGAGCCCCGCCCCAGGGGAGTCTTGCCAGACAGGTGGGTGAGGAGCTGCAGCCTGTGCAAGTCCCAGCTGAGGCCTCGGACACTGGGACAGAGACCAGCCTTTCCCACTGTCCTCTCTGAATTCCCTGCAGAGACCATAAGAGAGAAGAGCAGCTACTGGCTGAAGCCACTACATTTTAGGGCGACTTGTGATGCTGCAGCAACTGATAGCAACTGCACCCCCACAGCCCCTGATGGATGCTCTGCCTGGCACCAGGCTCTGTGCCCCTGAGAAGATGGGCTCCCTGGCTTGCAGAGCTGCTATTTGTGGGGCCGGAATAATAAACAGCTGAATGGACCAGAGACTATCAGTTGGTTAAATGGGACTGGGATGCATTTTCCATCAGGGAATCAATCGGGGCTCCTCTGAAGAGGTGATATGAGCTCTGAGGCCTGGAGAAGGAAGAGATGGCTCTGGGAGCTGGGACCAGGCAGCCCAGCCCAGGATTGCTGTGATGGCCTCTGCTGGGTATGGCCCCCAGAGGCCTGCTGGCCTGTGAGCTCTATGGGGGTGCACAGGGCACTGGTTCTGCCCAAGAGGAAACGCCAGCAGTGGAGTTGGTGCTGGTGTAAGAGCAACAGCAAAGGTATTTTTTTTAACTTTTTATATTGAAATAATGATAATCTGTAACAATTACAGATTCACAGGAAGTTGGAAAGATAATAGAGAGAGAAGCCTGTGTACCCTTCACCCAGTTTCCCCCAATGGTCACATTCTACATAACCACCACACATCAGAAAAGGGACATTGGCACTGGTGTGACAAGGGTGTCAAGCCCTGTGTCACTTTATCACACATGGAGATCCATGTTTCTGTCCCTGTAACCAGGATACAGAGCTGTTCCCTCTCCATGGAGACCCCCTGGTACTCCCTTTCACAGTGACAATCACCCCCCTACCCCAGCTCCTGGCAGCCGCCAATCTCCTCTCCATCTCTATGATTTTGTTATTTCAAAAATGTTATATAAATGGAATTATGCCATTTACATTTTCTGTAATTACTGACATAACTTCAGTCTGCTGTTTTATTTTTTGCTTTGTTTGTTCCTGTGTTTGTTGGTGGTGGTGTTTCTCTATTTTCTTTTTTTTGCCTTGCTGAGTGTTACTTGGACATATTTAAGCATCTATTTTGGTTTTTGTACAGTGTTTTTAGTGTATATCTTTGTATAGATTTCTAGTGGCTGCCATACTGCATTATACATATGTACTTATCACAGTCTACTGCCATCAACATTTTACCATTTCGAGTGACATGTAGAAAGCTTCCCTCTCTTTGTGTCCCTTTTCCCCTTCCATTTATAATATAATTATCCTAAATATTTTTTCTACATACATTGAGACATTCGACAATGCTATAATTTTTGCTTCAACCACCAAATGTAACTTAGAAACCTTCAGAGAAGGGGTCCATTGTATTTACCCATAGTTTTGCTCTTTCCATTGTACTTTCTTCCTGATGTCTCAAGATTCCTTCCTTATCACTTTCTTTCCATGAGAAGAACTTCCTTTGGCCCTCCTTTCACAGTAGGTTTGCTGGCAACAAACTTACTTTTCCCTTCACCTGAGAAGGTCTTGATTCCTCCTCATTCCTGAGGGATAGTTTCACTGGGTATAGAATTTATGGTTGACAGCTCTTTTCTTATGGCACTTAAAAACGTTCCACTTATTTCTTGCCTCCATGCTTTCTGATGAGACATCCATGTTTTTTGGAAGGTGGTTACGTGGCTGCTTTCAAAATTGGGGTTTGTTGTTGTTTAGTTTTTGGAAGTCTGACTGTGATATGTCTTGGTGTGGATTTCCTTGGGTTTATAACGTTTGGAGTTCATTCAGCTTCTTAAATCCTTACATTTATGTCTTTTGCCAAGTTTAGGAGATTGCTTCTTCAATATTTTTTCGGCTTTGTCCTCTTTCTCTTCTCCTCCTGGCAATTAGATGACATGAATATTAGATCTTTTGTTATCTCTCAGAGAACTCTTTTCTCCCACCCCTAGTCTATTTTCTCTCTGTTTCAGACTGGGTGGTTTATATTGCTCTATCTCCAGGTTCACTGCATCTTTCCTTTGTCCCCTCTGTTCTGCTTTGGAGTTATCGATTAAGTTTTTATTCTGATTATTGTATGTTTTTAAAAAATTCTAAAGTGTCCATTTGGTTCTCTTTATAACTTCTATTTCCTTGCTGAAACATTCTTTATTTTCATTTGTTTCAAGCATGTTCATAATTGCTCATCAAAGCACCTTTAGGATGGCTGCTTTAAAAGCCTCATCAGGTAATCCTGATATTCCTTCCTGTTCAACATATACCAGTATTGGTGTATGCTGATTGTATTTTCTGGTACAACTGACATTTCTCTGGTTCTTGCTATGACAGGTGATTTTCTTATTGGATCTTGAAAGTTTGGGGTATTGTATGTTGAGACTCTGGATTACATTTCAATCTTCTGTTTCACAGCTGGCCTCTCCTGACCCCATATGGTAGACAGAGAGGGGTGCTGCCCCATTACATCAGGAATGGGGGAGGGAAACCCAGCATCCCCACTTTAACCCAGGTGTTTTTAGCACAATGAGAAAACTTGGGTTGCTTCCCTCATCTCCAGGGAAGCAGGAGGCTGATCTCTTGCTGCCCTGCTTCTTGGCAGGGCAGTGGGGGCAAGGGCTGCTAGGCCTTAAAAAGAGGGTGCCAGGGATGGCTTTTCCAGAGGCTATGGCCCTGGAGAGGGCTCCCATACTTGGGAACATCTTTGGTGACCTGACTGTGACCCCCAGGATGACAAGCAGCATTCTGGGAGTGGTAGGAGCTGGACTGAGCCACGGACTGCAAACTGGAGGCCTGCTGGCTGGGATCTTCACACTTTTGAAAGGTCTTGTTCACTCCACACTCTCCCAATAACATGTGCATGCATTCCACCGATTACTGCTGCTGCAGCCCTGGCCTGCTCCGGCATTTGGCCCATCTCACTATTTACCTCCATCAACTACTTGGCCCCTGAAGTCATCTGAGTTTGCAGCCCCAGGAGGAGGCAGTGCCAAGTCCCCCCAGTCTCCAGGGATTGCTTGCATGTGTGTGGGCAGGTGGGGGGCAGGGGGAGGGACTCTGCTACTCTGTCTTTTGTGCAATAAAGTATTGACATTGACCTGGTTTTGTCTCCAGACCGGGAGTGGGGTGGTGACAGACCTACGCCCAGAGTGGTCAAAGGGAAAGGAAGCCAAGGAGGGCTCCTGGGGTGGGGTGGGGGCTGCAGAGAGGCTTCCTGGAGGAGGGGAGAAGGAGCTTGGGCCTTGAAAAATGAATGGTGGCTGGACACAGTGGCTTACGCCTTAATCCCAGCACTTTGGGAGGCTGAGGCAGGAGGATCACTTGAGTCCAAGAGTTTGAGACCAGCCTGGCCAAGATAGGTAGACCCCATCTCTACAAAATTAAAAAAAAATAAAAATAAAAATAAAGAGGAAAGGGCCAGGTGGGGACCCTCTTGGCCAGGAGCACAGCATGAGGAAAGGCCTGATGTGGAGGTGTCTTTGGAGCAAGAGTACAGTGTGCAAAGAGCACTGGGTACCAGGGAGACATGGCTGTAGGGTGGCCTGTTGGCCCCACAGGGTCCTGAGCGCAGGCATCTCCACACTACCCACTGTGCCACATGGCAGAACATGGGTTGCAGCGCCCACAGGGGAGCCACACCACTTGCTCTGGAAACTGGGCCCCACCACCACCTGGCTGTGGCCTTGGTCAGAACAGCCCCTGACTTGCTGCTGTGTCCACATGTGTAGATGGGTGACAGCAGTCTGCCCACCTCATAGAGGAGCTCAGCGGATAAGCACGTGGATTCCTGCCTTGTGCGTGCTGAGCATTTGGTCCCAGCTGGATGTGGCGGAAGGTGGACAGCGGGTGGGCTGTGCTGGCTGTGGAGGTGCAGATCGGGGCTGCAGTGGCTCCTGGTGGGTTTGACCTGTCCTGCATCCAGGCCCACTTGTTTGAAAACTGCACCTGGATTTTCTTTGGGGTAACCACTTCCCCAGTTCCACCTACTCACTCTGGAGAGGTCCCTGATCTCAGCCAACTATAGGGCCACAGTGATGGGTTCAAGGGGGCTACACGATCCAATCTGGTTCACTGAGGCTTCATTCTGGGAACTTTCCTGGACCTATGAGGAAAGAAAAGCTTGGAGCTGCCAAGGCCACCAGGAGCAGAAGGGCTGTGTGGGCATGAACCAAGCCAGTGGCCAGCAGAACCCTGCTGTGCCCAAGATCCTGTAGGTCTGAGCTGCTGCTCATTTGAGCCAATAGATGCCTCTTGGAGCCTACGTCCAGTTGGGTTTCTGTCACTTGCAACCAGCAGCAGGGGTGGGCAGAGAATGGTGCTGGGTGAGCCTTCTCTTTGGCATGCCTGCAGCTGGGCTGAGCCCTTCTCCTCCTGTGTAGGGAGGATAATCAGGCAAAACCCTCAGAGTTGGAGGATGAGTCCGTGAACACCAACCATAGGCATCACCTCTTTTCAGGCTTCTGCAATAGTCAGCAGTCTCCCCACATCCATGCTAGCTCCCAATGTCCTCTCCACCCAGTGGCCAAAGTGGGCCTCCTAGAATGCAACAGTGATTCCATCTTGCCCCTACGTCCACTGTCAGCGGCTCCCTGTGGGCCTAGGCTCACAGTTTGACCCCACAGGGGCATGTGGGGATGAGCTGAGATGACCACAGTGCTCCACACTCACGACCCGGCACAGGGGGCATCTGTTCCATGCCAGGCCGCAGGCAGGGTGACAACAAAGTGCACAAGGCCCTGACACCATAAGCAGGGAGGACAAGGGAGGGAACAGTGACAATAAAGTGGTGACACGGGAAGTCAGAGGGAGGAGGGCCACCCAGGGTCTCCCAGGTGGGAGAATGGGTGTAAGTGCCACAGACATAGGGGGAAGATGAACCTGTGTGCCAAGGGACAGGGAGGTTGGCATGTGTGCACGGGAAGGAGAGAGGTGGGAAGCAGGTCCAAGTGTGCGTGTTCTCGCATGTGTGAGTGGATGTGCATGTGCATGCTTGCATATGAGTATATGTGTGCATGCTTGCATGGTGGAGTGTACGTGTGTGCCTGCATGTGTGAATGTACATGTGTGCTTGCATGTGTGTGTGCATGTGTGTGTGAGTGTGCCTGTGTGTATCTGCTTGCATGTGTGTGCTAGCGTGTGTATGTGTGCTTGCATGTGTGAGTGGATGTGCATGTGTGTGCTTGCATGTGTGTGTGCTTGCATGTGTGTGTGTGCTTGCATGTTTGAGTATATGCATGCGTGTGCCTGTGTGTGCATGTGTGCTTGCATGCGTGTTTGCACTTGTGTGTGTGTTTGCATGAGTGTATGTGTGTGTTTGTATGTTTGAGTGTGTGTGTGCGTATGTGTGCACATGTGTGGAGGCATTTCATGTGTTAAAAGATGCCACTAGAGGGTCTGAGCAGAGGGGTCTCCCCAGCTGTCTATTAGATCCCTGTGGACCACAGTGTGGAGAGCAGAGTTGGGAGGACTGCGCTGGCAACTAAGGGTCCCCATGTCCTCCAGGCAGGAGGTGACAGAAGCAGGGGAAGTGAGACAAGGATGGGTTAGGAATATTTGGCAGTGGTGGTGCCAGTTCCAAAGTGGGCTCAGGCAGGAATCCAGATGCCCCCCCAACCAGCTTTGAACCCAGTGACCAGGGATCTGAGGGCCATTCCCCAGAGCTGGGGGTGCCTGGATCCTCCCCATCTCCTTCCTCACCCAGTAGCAGTGGGGCTGCCTCAAGGGGAAGGAGATCCCAAGTATACTTTTGCAGAAAGCTCTGACTCGTACAAATGCAGAACAGTCCCCAGAGCTGCCCCAGGGGCAGGAGCATGGGAAAGCACCAAAAGAAGCTCCTCTCCAGACCCCCCTGAAATGGAACCATGTTCCTAGGAATCTCCTGCACTACTCTACAAACTCCCCAGCCCTCTGAGCTGCCGAAGGCAAACAGAAGCTAAACCAACATGGGAAACCCAGAGGGAAGAGCCCAGCAGCCTGCTGAGTCACTTCCCCTCTATTTGATGTGGGGTCAGGAGCCCCAAAGTCACAGACCCCGGCTCCAACCCCAGCTCCTCCAAGGTTGCTCACCTCCAACTTCTCTGTCTGCATTTGGGGTGCTGCAGTCCCTCCTCAGAGGGCAGTGTCAGGACCCAGTGTGGTCACACCAGGAGCTCAGAGCTAAACAGAGGGCAGCTGCTGCCGGGGCCAGACAAGAGCCGCAGGGGCTCTAGAGCCTGCCTCACACAGCCCATCCATAGCAAGAGGCACTTGCCTCTGTCCCCACAAACTGCCTGTGCAGTCTTCTCCCCACCTTCCTGTGGCGGCACAGCCTTTTCCTTATTGACTCTTGGGAGTTCTTTATATATTCAGGATACACATCCTTTGACAATTAGATGTGTTATAAGCCATCTCTTTCTAGATCCTGACTTGTCTCATTATTTCATTATTTATAACTTTTAATGAGCAAAAGTAACTAATTTTAATGTAGTCAAATTGACTCATATTTTCCTTTCTTTATTTTTTTAGTATCTTGTTTATGAAATCCTCCCCTAGCCCAGGGACAGGAAGCGAATCTGCTCTCTGGTCTCCTAAAAACCTTAGAATTTTCTGTGTGGCGCTGAGACCTAGGCCACCTGGAATCCACAGTTGCTCATGATGGGAGAAGGAATTCCAGGGCATAATGAGAGGGTCACATGAGCAGATTCTCACTGTGATGGCTTTTGCTGCTGCTGTCTGGGGACTGGACAGAAAGGTGTTACCAAGTACAGCAGGCAGAGCAGAGAGGAGGTGCTCCTTCCTGAGGAGCCCAGAGTGGGGATGGAGGGAAGTGGAAAGTTCTGGAATATATTTTTGGGAAGAATCCACCAGGCTGAGGGATGCAGGGGACATGGGGAGCATGGAGGTTCCCAGTAGGGCAACCTGGGGGATGTGGCATGTTTCGCAGAGATGGGGAAAATGAGGGAGGCACCTGGTTAACCAGGAGCTTGGTCCTGGACACGTAGACTCCAGCGGCCCTGGACCTTCCCAAGACGCAGCTGGAGACAGGGGGCTCTACCACAGAGGAGAGGCCTAGGCTCTCCTGGGCACCGTGAGTACAGAGCAGGAAGCTCCTTGAGGAGTGTCTGCCTTGGGGCAAAAGGGCGGGAACAGGCAGACAGCAGGGACAGCCCCTGGTGCTGGTGACAGGTGGCGCAGACAAGAGCTGGTGAACATTCCCCGAGGTCAGCCATGGTGTCCACACTCACTGTGTCCCTCACCACAGCTCTGCAAGCTCTCACGTCCATTTCACAGATGAGGAAATCGAGGCTCGGAGAGCAGTCAGGACTTGCTCTGCCTTCACCAGCCATGAGGATGGATTTGCGCCCACACGTGTGCCTCGGTAGTCCGTGAGGAAAGAAAGCGCTCCAGTCTTGTTTGCCAGGGAAGGGAGGGGAAGTACAGCCCAGTGGCTGGGTCAAGACCACAGACTGGAGAAGCCAGACTCCTGGGATTAGCCTCCCAGCCCGGCCTCCTATCCACTGGGGAACTTGAGCACGTCTCCAGCCTCAGCCCACCCATCTGTAGAAGGTAGCAGAGCCAGCACTGTATTAGTGCTTGGGAAATAAAATAATAAATATAACTTTTGAGGAAGATGTTCTGCCTCATTCAGGGACATGTAAGTTAAAACCACAATGAGGCTGGGCATGGTGGCTCACACCTGTAATCCCAGCACTTTGGGAGGCCGAGGCGGGCAGATCACTTGAGGTCAGGAGTTTGAGACCGGCCTTGCCAACATGGCAAAACAAAAATTAGCTGGGCATGGTGGCACACGCCTGTAATGCCAGCTACTCGGGAAGCTGAGGTGGGAGGATCACTGGAACCCAGGAGGTGGAGGTTGCAGTGAGCTGAGATCGAGCCACTGCACTCCAGCCTGGGCGACACAGTAAGACTCAATGAGGCTGGGTGCCGTGTCTCATGCCTTTAATCACAACACTTTGAGAGGCTGTGGTGGGAGCATCACTTGAACCCAGGAGTTTGAGACCAGCTTGGGTAACATAGAGACCTCATCTCTTGAAAAAAAAAAATTAGCCAGGCATGGTGGTGCCCATCTGTAGTCCCAGCTACTCAGGAGGCTGAGGCAGGAGGATGGTTTGAGCCTAGGAGCTTGAGGTTACAGTGAGCTCTGATTGCACCACAACATCCCAGCTTGGGTGACAGAGCGAGACCCTGTCTGTCTCTAAAAAAAAAAAGCAGACAAGCAAAACCACCTAGTTGAAAAACCAGTTCATGCCACTAGATTTGCAAAACTAAAGAGTGCCAAATATTGGTGAGGATGTGGGACAGCCAGACCCTTCCACACTCCTGCTAAGCTGCTGGGAGTGTAAACTGGGGCTGTCACTTGGGAAGACGGTTTTGCTGTATCTCCTGAAGCTAGACAAATCCTACCCCGTGACCCTGCAGACCGTCCCTGGATCTAAAGGTGCCCACCGAGAGGCACACACAGGATGCTCATCACAGCTTTGCTCATCATGGCTCCAGATAGGCGACAATCCCATGTCCATCGGCAGGAGAATGGGCGAGCAGGAGCCCAACAAAACAGGCTGCGAAGACGATGCCTGCGAGCAGCTGCCCTGTGCCCTCACCACACAGAGCAGACAGAGCAAACAGCACAGGCTGAGTGACCCCGTTTCTGTAATGCCCAGAACAAGCCACCCAAAACAGCGTCCCATTCTGGGGTGCAAATATAAGAGGTCACACCCAAAGAAAAGCACTTAAAGATGAACACAAAAATGAGGGTTGTGGCTGCTCCTGGGGAGGGAGGAGCGGGGTGAGACGCGGAGGGACACCTGGGCCCGGTATGAGTCCATTCCCTTTCCCTGTTAACCATGTGAACTGTAGAGAGTTCCTCTTCTGTAGGGGTGACGTGATTCACACAGCAAAAACCGCACCCCTCAGGCTACAGATGGGGGCCAAGTCCCCAGCCGGGACTCAGCCCTCCCACGACGGGGTTTTCCTGGCCCATCTGCTCTGTTATCGATGCTCCTGTTGCCGGCTTCCCCTTCCTTGGCCTGGTTGCGTCCACCGGGAGGCCCTCCCGGATGCCTCCTGCCTGGGAGTGGCGGTTGTGAGTACAGTAACTGAGTGCTGGGTGTCTGCCCCTCAGCCTTGCCATGCAGGCTGGGGGTATTGCCTGGACAGCTCTGGCCCGTCACCCTGGATTCTGCAGCCCCACACCTCACACCGTGTAGATCCGCTGCCCCACGCTACAGCCGGAGTTCGCGTCTCGCCACGCCTCTGCCGCGGGACTTTCCTCCCTGGGCTGCGTCCCCAGCCGGGAATGCGCCACCAGCCTGGGGCCTGCAGGGGGCGCCCGGGCTCCCCGCGCAGGTGCCCGCCCATCTGACAGAGCGGAACGCGCGAGGCCGAGAGCTGGGAACACCCGGCCCCGCAAGGTCTGGGAACTGCGATTGCCTCCTTCAGCCTCAGTTTCCCCCCCCGTGAAAGGAGGCCATGCTCCTAGCCTGGGCACACTGAGCCAGGCCCTGTTCCTGGGGTCGCGGGCTAGCCCGCTCGAGAGCGGGGGGCTCCCGGAACTGCCCGCGCGGCCCCGGCGCCCAGAGAGTTGAGGCGGGCAGCCGTATCGCCCTTTGAAGACGCGCGGTGGGCCCCTGCAGGCGCGCGGCGCGGGGCAGAGCGCCCTCTGGAGGCCGCCGCCGGCCCCGCCCCCGCCCCGCCCCCGGGCTCTGGGCGGCGCATGCGCGCGGCGCGGGGCTCCGCGGGCGGCGAGAGCGAGGCCGGTCCGCAGCCGCGCGGCGCTCGGCGCCCCATTCATGCTGGGCATCGGCTGCGCGGCCACGCAGCGGAGCCCGGGCGCGGCGGCGGCCTCGGCCTGGGCGGCCTACGCGGCTTCGGCGGCCCCGCGGCGGGGCGGACGGCGGCGGCGGCGCGGGCGGCTGGGCGCGGCGATGGCCGGCGGCGGGGCGCGCCCCGGGGCGGCGGGTGAGTCGGGGCGCAACTTTCCCCGCGGCGCGGGACGGTGGGCGGGGGCCGGGCCGGGCTGGGGTCCGGGGCCGGGCGGCCCGTGGGTGGGCGCGGGGCGGCCTCCGGCGGCGGCCCTCTCGTGAGGCGGCAGGCAGGGGGTGTGCGCGGGGACTGCGGCGCGCGTGGGGACTGCGGCGCGCGTGTCCGCGGCCCGCGTGTCCCTGCGGCTCCGGCCCAGGCGTCCGCGTGTGTCCGGGCGCGGTCGCGGCGCCGACGCGGAGAGACCGCACCCCCGTGCGGCGGGGCTGGGACCGCGGCCCGGGATCCAGCGCCGCGGCCTCCCCCGCCCCCCGGCCGGGCCCGCCGAGCCCCGCGGCAGCTCCGGGGTGGCGGGGGGCGGGCGCTGCCCCTCCACGGAGGCTGGGGAGAAAGTTTGCGGCGGCCCCGCGGGGAGGCCCCTGCGGTGTCCAGGCCCGTCCCGGCCGCTGGACCTCGGCTCAGACCTCTGGCCGCGGGCGAGGACGGGGTGGCCAGGCCCGGATAGGGATCGGAGCCTCCCAGCAGGGCCGCGGGGGCCGGAGGAGGTCGTGCAGGCTAAGCCCCCGGCCGGCCCTGGGGCGCGGGGTGGAAGTTGGAGCGGCTTCCCGACCACAGCTGCCACCGCTCCCACTGGCCCGGAGTGCGGGGAGGTGGGCTCTGGGTGCCGCCCAGGAGGCCGCCCCGCTCGGGCCTCCTTGGCCTCCCCCTCTCGGGGCCTCTCCAGGGTCAGCCGCTTCTCCCGGAGGCTTCCGATTGCTTCCTGGATAGTCCCGGGCCTGATGTGCGGCGAAGCTGGAGGCAGCGGGCCGATCCCGGGCTGCCAGGGGAAGGGGGAGTGGGGACTCCAGGGAGGCCCCTCGGTCGGCGTGAGGTCCCAGGTGCAGCCCTGGAAAGGAGGGGAGGGGCTCCGAGGGGCGGCCCCGGGCGGCGATCTGCCCCAGGCTCCTGTGTGGGGTTCTGGGGCCACGCCCCTTGAAAGAAAGGGGTGTGTGTGCCGGGGAGGGGACGTGGTCGAGCCTCTGTCCCCTCAGCGCGGCTCCTGTGGCTCAGGCTGCTCCGTGCTGCCCCATCTCCTTTCACACGTAGCCGGTTTGGGGGTCGGTGCAGGGATGGGGCGCAGTTTCTGCTCCCCGGGCCCTTGAGGAGCTTGCCTCAGGTCCCCTCGATTTCCTGCGGCTTGGGGTGTGCGGCAGAGGCCAGGTGCTGCACCAGGGGCACCAAGATGCTGCCCGGCCCTTGAGGAGCACCCAGCCCCCTGCCAGAGGCAGGCATGTGAACCAGTGATTCGCTGCAGGGCCAGGCTTCCATTCCTGGGGGGTGCCAGTGGGGCCCAGGAAGGGCGTTTTGGGCAGAGGACAGCATGGGCGGAGGCCTGGGTTTGTGGCCTCAGTGTGTGCTCTGGGGGTGGGGGACACATGAGGTGCCTGTGGACAAAGCAGACAGCCCTTTGCTGGACTCCTGGCCCCCCAAGGTCGTTGCCTGCCTGTTTTGAGCCCCCAGGAAAGCCCCCGTGCACAGAGCAGCTTAGAGCAGCTGGCCGGGAGGAGCGGGTGCCCCAGGGGAAGGCCTGCAAAGGTAGGCACTTTTTCTCAGGAGCAGGACTCCAAGGCCTTCAGAGCCGGATCCCCTAGGACTGGTCGGGAGCAGAACCACTGGGACCACCTCCCATGACCCCCGTTGTGGGGGAGGCGGAGTGCCAGGAGCAGCTGTCTTCCCCCCCGGCTGCTGTTGTGAGCCACTGGGCAGGATGGCAGCCCCACACCCCAACCTGCCTGAGCCATAGCAGGATCTGGCGCAGGAGGACTTGGGGGGATTGGACTCTTCCTTGTGGGGAGGGCTTTGGGGGCCTTTGTTTCTCAGGGTGAGAAGGAGCTTTGGTGTCACTCAGGCCAGGAAAGGGAAGGGGACACTGTTGGCTTGGCGTTCCACCAGGCGGCGATCCCCTCCTGTCCAGGAGAGGAGCCCCTGGGCTGGGGCTCCTGCACGCAGACCGCGGGGTCTCTCTCCGCCTCTCTCTCCCTGGCTAGCCCCATCGGCATCCCAAGGCCAGTCTAGCCTCCCCTGCCCTGGCTCTGGCTCTGCCTCAGCCTAGAACAGCTCTGGCCATGCCGGAGAGCCACAGCCGTTCCTACTGCCCTCTGCACAGCCAGTGTTTCCCACCCCAGGCCTTTGCTCCTCCTGTTCTGCCCCCCACCCCCACCACGAATGCCCACCCTCCTGCACCAGCTCCCAGGCTACCTGGTCCTCTCTTGAGGCCTTTCCCCGGCCACAGTGGCCAGCTCTGCTCCTCGGTAGAGTGCAGCATCTGCCCATGCTCCCCTCCTAGCCCCGGCATGGGCCCCTGGCACCCTGGCACCTGGGCCCAGCTTTGGAATGAATGCATTTTTTCCTAGGCAGACCCAAGCCTATGAGAGTTGAGCCCTGCAGGCTGGCTGGCTGGTCCAGTCTCTGGAAGCTCGAAATTTGGGCCCTGCCCTGCTGGGACTAGTTGGGTGACCTTGAGTCTGAGCCCCAAGTCTTATACCCCTAAGGTGGAAGAAGTGGCCCAAGCATTGTCACTGGCCTTTATTAGATGCTGGGCATGAGGGACCCAGCCCTAGGCTCGGGGCTCCCCCTTTCTTGGCCGGCAACCCTGTGACCCCAGGCAAGTCCCTTCCCAGCAGACTTTGTTGGGGCAGTGGGGTGAGGGTGGAGTTTGGGGCGGTGGGCCCAAGACCAGGCTGGAGTTTGGATGGTGGCTTCTTAGCCTGGTCCCTCCTGTTGAATACAAAAAGTAGGGCCCATAATTGCATTAAGACGTGTATAATTATCCCAGAGGAGGGGAGAGCCCAGCCCCTGGTAATTGCAGGCCTGCTTTGAACTGATAAACGGTGAGTGATTCATGTTTTCTTTGGAGTTCACATGTGCTCAGCTCCCAGCCCCGGCCCCACTGCCACTGTGAGGAGCCTGTTTTCTGGCTCCCGGGTCTTCCTTGAGCTCTGAGGCGGGGGCGGGAGTGGGGACTCCTCCCCTGCTGTTCTTGGGGCGCTGTCCGGCAAAGGCAGCTGGCAGCCTGCTAGGAGCACCCTGCAGTTCCTGCTCTGGGATTCCAGCCAAAGCTCTTTGCTTCTGAGAGCCTCGGTTTCCCCACCTGAGCAGTGGGTGTGTGCTGTGCACACACTGGGCAGGGAGTGTGTGGGGAGTGAAACAGGAGTGAAGAAGCATGGGGGGCTGCCGCACCCAGACCTGGCTGGCCCTCCGCATACCCTTCATTCATTCGCTCACTCACGGGGATTTATTGAGTCTTCCTGGGTCCCTGGCTTGGCTTGGGGATGCAGTGGCAACCACCCAGAGCCAGGCCCTGCTCTCACAGGGCAGCCATTCTGGCCGGGAGAATGGGAGCAATAAGTAATAGAGACCCTTCACGAGTCCTGTGCTGCAGATGAGAACAGGGTGACTGAGCAGGGCGGGGAGTGGAGACAGGGGCACAGAGGCCTGGGGGAGGGGCAGGCAGCCCCACACTGCATGTGGGCACCAGGCACAGAGGCTGATGGGACTGTGCCCAGCTCCCTGGTAGACTTGGAGAAGGCATCCATCTTCAGGCCTCAGCTTCCCCATCTGTAAAATGGGGCCAGACCATACAAGGGGTGTCTGGGATGGTCTGTGCAAACTGGCTGGCTGAGGCTTGAACTCAAGACTCAGGACTCAGCCTTGCTGTAGCCGGCTCCAGCCAGGAGTGGGTGAGAGGCCCCAGCACATCAGGCACATCCAGGGCAGCAGGCCCTACTGACAACCAAGGGGGTGGCACTGCTGACTATGCCTTGTGGGCAGGTGTGCCCTTTCCTCTTTCATCCATGAGAAAAGAGCTTTCATGCCCCTTTTGCAAATGGGGAAACTGAGGCTAGGAAAAGGGAGTGTCCCCATCAGAGTCATCTGCCTACAGAGTAACAGGGTCTAGATTTAGCCCAGTGCTTGGCTGCCAGTTGCTAGGCAGGGTGTGGTGAGACTTTTCCAGAGGCAGTGGAGGCCAGGACAGGATATGGGGACTCCCGCCAGGATCTGGGCAGCGCTGACCTCGTGTGCAGGTCAGAAGAGTGGCCTTAGCCTCTGCATAGGGACCTGGCTGTAGGTGGTTGTGGGTGGAGGGAGCCGAGTACCCTGGCAATCCAGGAAGGAGGGGTGGGCATTTTGTGGAGTTTGGGGTGGAGTCAATGGACCTTGGTAGTGAGTGTGACCAGGAAGTGAGGGCCCGATGTGGAGCAAGGCAGGAGGGGGCCACACAGGTCTGGGTGGGTATGGGGTGCTGAGGCTGGGAAGGGGTCACTGTGGAGGGGTGGAGTGCAGGGAGCACCTGCCAGCCTTCCCTGTGGAGGAATTCCTCTTTCCTTGGAGTTGGGTGTGAGGCTGGGAGCAGGACTGGTGGCTTGGATAGAGTGCTGAGAGTCAGGGCTGGTGGGCCAGGGAGCCTGGGAAGGGGCCGTGTGGCGGGGCACCCGTCGGCTGGGGTGGGGATGTGGGTGGGACACATTGCCTGGCTTCTGGACTGCAGGTCTCAAGGTTTATCCAGCATGGGGCTTGGGGTCCCACCGAGAGCAGCCCAGGCTGCCACCTATCCACAGTGAGAACTGCTGCCTGTGTGGCCTGGGCCTCCATGTCCTCCGTGGTGCCTCTGCTGTGGGCTGTCAGGGCGTGTTCGGGGGAGAGGCAGGGCTGTGGAGGTGGGAGTGAGCACTAAAGCCCATCTATGTCAAGCTTCTGTAGGGGACGGTGGTGGAGTATGTCCCCACCAGCCTCAGGCAGGGAGCTGGTGCCCACCCTGGGAGTACAGAGCTGTGGGGAGGGTCCTGCTCCCCAGTGCATAGGGAGGCTCTGGGTGAAGGCTGCTCTCCAGGTTGGTGTCAGATGTTGGTGTCAGCTGGGGTCCCATTCCACACCTCAGGCCCTTGTCACCTGCCTTCCTGTTCCTGGCCTCCGCCAGTGATGGCAGGGCACAGGTGCCAACGGAGTGACCTCTTGCCAGGTGTCCTGGGGATACCTGGTGCACCCCACAGCTTATAGGGCCTCAGGCCAGGGAGGTGCCCAGTTTGCCCCTGGCTCCTCCTGGTGGGTCAGGTTCTGCCTCCTGGAGGTGCAGTGGGCACGCCCAGCACTGGAAGGGCTCACACTGGGAGATCATAATATCATGGGATGGGCCATGCCTGCATTCACATGCCCTCTTCTGCCCCTTCCCCAGGGCTGAAGCTCCTGGCACCATGATGCTCACCCCAGCAGGACCAGAGCACCGAGGCCCAAGGCCCCAGCCTGCCATGCCGCTGCCACCGCGGAGCCTGCAGGTGCTCCTGCTGCTGCTGCTGTTGCTGCTGCTGCTGCCGGGCATGTGGGCTGAGGCAGGCTTGCCCAGGGCAGGCGGGGGTTCACAGCCCCCCTTCCGCACCTTCTCGGCCAGCGACTGGGGCCTCACCCACCTAGTGGTGCATGAGCAGACAGGCGAGGTGTATGTGGGCGCAGTGAACCGCATCTATAAGCTGTCGGGGAACCTGACACTGCTGCGGGCCCACGTCACGGGCCCTGTGGAGGACAACGAGAAGTGCTACCCGCCGCCCAGCGTGCAGTCCTGCCCCCACGGCCTGGGCAGTACTGACAACGTCAACAAGCTGCTGCTGCTGGACTATGCCGCTAACCGCCTGCTGGCCTGTGGCAGCGCCTCCCAGGGCATCTGCCAGTTCCTGCGTCTGGACGATCTCTTCAAACTGGGTGAGCCACACCACCGTAAGGAGCACTACCTGTCCAGCGTGCAGGAGGCAGGCAGCATGGCGGGCGTGCTCATTGCCGGGCCACCGGGCCAGGGCCAGGCCAAGCTCTTCGTGGGCACACCCATCGATGGCAAGTCCGAGTACTTCCCCACACTGTCCAGCCGTCGGCTCATGGCCAACGAGGAGGATGCCGACATGTTCGGCTTCGTGTACCAGGATGAGTTTGTGTCATCACAGCTCAAGATCCCTTCGGACACGCTGTCCAAGTTCCCGGCCTTTGACATCTACTATGTGTACAGCTTCCGCAGCGAGCAGTTTGTCTACTACCTCACGCTGCAGCTAGACACACAGCTGACCTCGCCTGATGCCGCCGGCGAGCACTTCTTCACGTCCAAGATCGTGCGGCTCTGTGTGGACGACCCCAAATTCTACTCGTACGTTGAGTTCCCCATTGGCTGCGAGCAGGCGGGTGTGGAGTACCGCCTGGTGCAGGATGCCTACCTGAGCCGGCCCGGCCGTGCCCTGGCCCACCAGCTGGGCCTGGCTGAGGACGAGGACGTGCTGTTCACTGTGTTCGCCCAGGGCCAGAAGAACCGCGTGAAGCCACCAAAGGAGTCAGCACTGTGCCTGTTCACGCTCAGGGCCATCAAGGAGAAGATTAAGGAGCGCATCCAGTCCTGCTACCGTGGTGAGGGCAAGCTCTCCCTGCCGTGGCTGCTCAACAAGGAGCTGGGCTGCATCAACTCGGTGAGTTGGGCAGGGGCGCCCCTCCTCCCGCGGCCCCATCCCCTCCAGGGACGACGGCATCGGTGTCAGATGCACGCCCAGTGGTGCCTGCTGTGTGCCTGGCCTGGCTTTTGGCTTGGCCATCCCCATGGCTCAGCTAGGTGGGGCTGCCCTTTTCCATCCCCCAGAGAGTGGGTTTGGACCCAGGGTGCTAGCCCCAAAGGCTGCTCCCAGCCATGATGCTGTCTTGTGCCTCAGAAGATGGGGTGACGAGGCCCTGCTGGCATAGTCCACAGCCCCTGTGGGACACTGGACAGAGTGCCAGCCACATGCCTGGTCCTACACCTGGTGCTTGCCTGCTCCATCTTGTCCCCATCCTACAAATGAGGTTATAGGATCAGAGAGGTGGGGTAACTTGCCCTGGGTCACACAGCAAGTGAGAGGCTGGTGCCAGAGCCTATCAGGTGAGCCCAGACACCATTTCCATGGAGCGCTTGTGTCCCCCACATGACCCTGGTGGCACCTGCCCGCTGGGCCTCTGCTTTTGCCCAGCAATGGGAGCTGATGGTGTCCTGGTGCAGGCCACAGTTAACAACTTGCAGAGAAAGTGACCCTGACTGCAGGGAGCCACAGCCCCCAGCACCCATCAGAAGGCACAGCTGGGGTGGGGCCTCTATCTCGCTGCCTTTCAGGGAGTGTCTTGTTCACACTCCTGGGCAGGCTCAGAGGGCACGGGCCTTGCTTAGGGTGGAAAGTGAAGGGGCTGGGACTCGGCCCAGACCTGGGACCCCCGAGGCCAGGCCTTCTGGGCTTGCTGCTGGGGGTCGCTGGCCATCGCAGGGGAAGGCCTCGCCCTCTCTGGCTGTAGTCTCCCATGTCTGACCTGAGGGTGTTGCTGGTTTTGTCCTCAGGGCAGAGTGGGACTGCAAGGGCCCCTCAGTCCTTCCGTCTCACGCTCACTGCCTGTGTGAGGCAGGGCCCATGTGTGCTTGGCAGATGCGGTTGTCCACCCTCCCCTTGGCTTTTCAAGGAACGTGTTTTCTCTGCACCATACAGATGGAGACACTGAGGCTTGTAGGGGCAGAGCCTGGGTGAAGCCCCACCACACTCTCTCTTTGTGCCCTGCCCCAAGGCTGGGGCCTGCTCTTTCATCCCTGGGGACAGTCCCCACTGCCCCCTCCCACCTGTTCATTCCATGTGGCCTAGCCCTGGCCCAGCCTCCCCTGCTCCTTCCTCCTGAGCAGCCTGGCCCCTGCCAATGAACCCTCTGCAGACAAGGACCATCTGCCCCACTTCTCCCCACATCCCTTCCCTGCCTGCCCTGCCCTCTCCTTAGGCCTGGCGGTGGAGCAGCGCCCCCTCCACACTGGCCCCCAGCTGCTCCGGAACCTCAAGCTATTGATTGCTTTCTCGTGCTCTTAGCTGGGAGCCCGCCCTCTGCCTTTCAGGTGTGATCTGCTCCCTCCTGTCTTAAACCCTCTCTGTCTGCACCTCTCCTCTGGGGGCTACCCCCAACCTCTCTAGAAAGACAACTGCACTCCCAGCCCTGCCCAGGGAGGCCCAGTCCTCCGGGAGAAGGTGCCCGGGGAGTGGCTCTCACCCTGCCCCTTCCCACAGCCCCTGCAGATCGATGACGACTTCTGCGGGCAGGACTTCAACCAGCCCCTGGGGGGCACAGTCACCATTGAGGGGACGCCCCTGTTCGTGGACAAGGATGATGGCCTGACCGCCGTGGCTGCCTATGACTATCGGGGCCGCACTGTGGTATTCGCCGGCACGCGAAGTGGCCGCATCCGCAAGGTCAGGCCTGGGTGGGGTGGGGTGAGGAGGGGGCTTGGGGCAGGAACAAAGGCTTGCGGCCGTCCCAGGTGGCAGGCCCAGTGCTGCTGTATGCTGTGGGAGGCTAGATCTGGCGTACAGGGGGCAGGGGGAATGTTGCCCTACACTAGGCCCAGTGACCTTGAAGGGCCCCACTCCCCTCTGTGCCTCTGCCCATGACTGGCCCCAGGCCCACTAAGCAAGGACACTTTGAGACCACGCAGGAGCCTGTGCAGGGGCCCAGGGATGCTGAGGCGGGGGCTGGCTCTCCAAGGGCACTTGACCTCCTGGGGAGGCTGCTGTGTGTGGGTGGTGAGGGCAGGCCTGCGCGGCCCCCTCCCCTCTGGGCCCTGCTCCCCAGCCAGGAGATCCAGTGTCTGCTGCCTCAGCACTCTGCCGGGCCAGAGGCCTTGGCCCTGCCTCTCCCCAGCCCCTCTACTGGGCCAAGGGCAGGGCAAGGGTAGTGCCCCTGCCTGTCTTTGGCTGGTGCTTGAGGAGCTCCAGCACACAGCCCTGGGCTGGCCCCACGGTGGCAGGGGGAGGGCTAGGTGCTACAGGGATGGCTGTCTGGTCTTCAGGGTTCTCCTTTCCTTCCCCAGAACAGTGGGCTGGACAGAGGCAGTGCAGAGCTTCCTGGAGGGTGTGGGTGGAGGGGAGCTGCCTGGGCTGGGGTGGGCACCAGGCTGGCCTGGTGTGGAGGAAGCTCCCGGAGAGACTGAAGGGTGGGGATACTTGGACACCCCAGAGGCCCAGTGGGCAGTGGTGGGTCCTGGGGTGCATAACCGGCACCAGAGGCTGGTGCCGATGCAGCTCCCCTGAGCCCATGTGTGCCCGCGAGTGGGGCTGGGCCGGGGGCTGGCCAGGGCTTGCAGCTCTCAGCCCGGTGCCCAGTGTTAGGAAGGGGGCCTCCCATCTCTGCCATGGTAGTTGCCCTGGGAGTGGTGGGGAGTCCTGCCCCTCCCTGGCTCTGTGATCTCTGGGAGGGGATCCCCTGCAGCCTCAGCTTCCCTCTGTGAAATAAGCCAGATGTTCAGGCTCTGGGCTGGGGGCGGGGGGTGCTGGTGGTCTTGGGGCCCGTGGGGGCCCAGCTGCTGATTGTAGGCCCCCCAGGGTGGGGGTGCCCTGGGGTCCTGCTGGTTCTGCTCATAGTGGCTATGAGGCTGAAGCTGATGGGGAAAGTCCTGTGACCCCTGAGTTGGGTCCTCTGCTGTGACTTCCCTCTTGGCCCCCATGTGGGGTACCGCCCTGTGGCTCTGGTGCGAGGCCCCTCCCGTCCTCTCAGCCTGCACTCCCTCTCCTCACACTGGAAGGCACACAGGGCTCTCGAGCGCATGGGGTGGGTGTTGGAGTGGGTTTTGCCAGACAGAGGACCGTGCTTGTGTGGAAGCCCAGTGCAGCAGCTTAGAGACATTTTGTGGGGCGCCCCAGAGCCTGTTACCCAGCCAGTGACCAGGTTCCTCTAGCCCTACCCTGTTCCTGCTGCCCAGCACTCACCCTCTTGTGCCCCAGGGGCACCGTTTGGGTCAGAGCTTTGCTGAGGGAGCAGCAGGACACAGCTGTTCCTCTGGGTGCCAGTTGGCCTGTCTCCCCTGCCTCCTCACCCCAGTCCCACAGAGGGAAACTGAGGTACAGAACAGGGAACTGCAGAGTTGGGCTTGGGCCCATCTATGGGAAGAGGCTGCTTCTGGGTTGAGATTCTACCAACTCTTCCCCTTCTTCCTGCCCCCATTCCTTCTCCCAATTTTCCCCTTCCCACCCCTAGTCCCAAGGAGGACCGTTCTCAGGGAGGCAGGTATGGGTGGAGCCTGTCCTCTGCTCCCTGGGCCAGGTGCCTCCTTGAGCCTGGCTTTGTGGGCAGCTGCTGGATGGTGCAGCTGGGAAGGTGGAGGCTGCGTCCTCATGGCCTGACATGGCTAGTTCCTTCCTGGTGACCCTGGCCGGGCCCCCACCCCTCAGAGCCCCAAGTTCTCCTCAGAGGCTCTAGGTGCCCATACCTGCCTCCCAGCACCCAACCTGGGTACCGCCTCCCTCCACCCCCAAACAAGTCTGGGCTGGGTGCCGTGGGCCATGTGTGAGTGGCACCCTTTGGGAGCATCTGGGGTCAGCTGTGCCCAGGGGTTGCTGGCCTGGCAGAGTCTGCAGTCGGGGACTTGGGTCTGAGTTTTGTTCGGAGGCCCCCCCAGGCAAGGCACGCCTCTGCTTTGTCCCCCTGGATGCAGACACGGTCATGTTGGTGAAGAACCTGCCGCCTGTACTCTTTCACCCAAATCCACCTGCTCTCAAACTGTCCAGCAGCTGGGCATGTCCCGTGCAGGGTTTTTGAACCTCAACGTCATGCAAATGCTGCATGTCATTGTGGGTCCCAGCCCTCTCCTTGCCCATTGTGTGGCCTTGAGCAAGCCGTCCAGCCTCTCTGAGCCTTGGTGTCTCCTCGTACCATGCGGACCTGGCATGCTCGTGTGGCCTGGGGTGTGTGATGAGTGTTGACCATGCGCCTGCACCCTACAGAGGCCTCATAGCAGCCTGTCATCTGTTTGACAGGTGGGGAAACTGAGTGCTCAAGGCAGGTGCTCAGGGCTGCTGGCTCTTCCCTCCCTTTCTGCGGTTCCTTGGAGGAGGCTGGGCAGAGTTCTCTGCTAGCCTTGAGAGCTAGGCCCCTTCCTCAGTGACCCCCTCTCTGAGGAGCCCCTTGCCACCCACTCCCACCTGTGTTACAGTCCAAGACCCTGGCTGTCTGGCTAGCTCCTGCCCTCCGACCTGGCTGGGAGTGCTGCTGCTGTGGGTGCATTTTGGGGTGGCTGCCTGTTCCATCCGCTCTGCCTCCCTTGTTCCCTAGTTACCGTGGGACCTTCAAAGCCTAACTTCCCACCACAGGCCACATGGGCAGAGGGTGCCCTGGGTTTGGGGTGAGGGGCCAGGAGGAGGAGATCTACCCTCACTTGTTCTGGGGCCTGGGTTCGAGTCCTACTCTGCTTGCCTTGGCTCTGTTATGTCCTGCAGACTCCAGTGCGAGGCCTCTGGCCTTGCTCCACTGTGAAGGATGCTTGCTCCCCGCTGGCCACACAGGCCTCTACTTGGCCTGGCCCGGGGGCAGCAGAACTTCACTTCTCCTCGTCTCTCCTTGTCATGCTGACCCAACCTGTGTGTGGGGCTGGCTGTGGTCCAGGGTCCAGAGCCAGGGTAAGGAGGGCCATGCTGAGCCCGGCCCCTGGGCTGCCCTGCCTCCTTCTTGCTCTCAGGGCCTTGGGAGAGGCCGGGCCCCGGGGCTCCCTCCTGCCTGTTCACATAGGGCTTCTCCTTCCCTGAGGCAGCTGGCCTGGCTGTGCTCTCAGAGCACAGGGCCCCGCCTCCTGCCTTCTTCACTTGGTCTCCTGGAGCTGGGCCCTGGGGACCCCCAGCCCACGCTTGACCCAGGGGCAGGCCTGCCAGGCTTACCACTCCCTGTCTTTCCCAGGCCAGTCTTTTCCGGGCTTTAAAAAGTGTCTGGGGAGCTCCAGGGACTTGGCTGGCCCCGGGCCAGTTCCTGTCAAACTGTTGGGGTGTGAAATTGTAGCTGATTAATTTAAGACCTGCCAACTTCGGCTATGGGGCTGACTGGGGGTGCCCCTGTCCCCCCTCCTTTCACCAGAGCCCTGCCTGGCACCTGCTCTGCACCCACACAGGCAGCCTCTCCCCCTGGGGTGCCTCTCTCAGCGAACTTCCTGCGCCCTGCTCCCAGCTCCTCCCGTGGCCTCTGGGGACCCCGGGCCATGTCAGGAGCTCACAGGAGCAGCCCCTGTTTTGGGTCCTGTAGCATCAGCCCAAGTACCCCCATGGGAGGGGAGAGCACAGGCCCCGGCCTCCTGCAGAGCGGGTGCTGTCCCCCTACAGAGGAAGCTGGGGAGAGCCTTGCCCTGTGGGCCGGCTGACGGGCACCCGAGGCCAGCCCTGCTCTGGTCCTGCTGCTGCTGCGGGGCAAAAGGAGCCAGCCCCTGGCTGAGGCCCAGCCTGCCCATTCAGGGAATGTAGGCCTGACTGCCTGAGCACCCGGTTTTTCAAGATTCTGGAAACCTGTATTTTGTGTGAGATCTCTTGGTTATTAAATCCACGTTGTAAGAGAGTATAACAGGACCAACTCAAGCATCCCTTTGGCCACCAGTTTGTGGCCCAGGGACCTGCACTGTGGCCTTGAGTAGCTTAGGGAAGCCACCCACCTGGGCTCTGAGGCATGGCCCTGGTGAAGCCCCATCCTCTGGGGCCTTGGTTTCCTTCCCTGGATGTTGGGTGCATCTGGGCATACCCCAGGGAGGCTTGGGGCTTGAAGTTCCTTCTGGAGCTGACCCCGATGAGCCATCACAGCATCTCCCTGTGGCGGTCCCTGCACAGAGGCTGCAGCTGCAGTTCCCTGTGTGCGTCCTGGCCTGGCTGGCCCCTGTCCCTGTGCTCATGGGCCCTCAGGACTCATGCTGCAGCACCTCCTGCAGCTTTCCTGGTCCCCACCATTCTTCAGCACTCCTAGGGGTTCCCAGTGGTGGAACCTGCAGCAGCTGGGTCTCTGAAGTGCTTAGGAGGCCTGTGGCATTAGTTGCCATCCCTGAGCTTCGGGAATGGTGGCCTGCGGGGCCTGGAGCTGGAGCGAAGCCTCTGGAGCCCTGCGCAGCGTGGGAGGTGTCCTCCGCCCGGCCATCTTCCTCTCTGCAGACAGCTGGGCACCTGCTGTGTGCCTGGGCTGCCTGGGGACAAGGAACACCTGCCCCCTAGAGGCCCCACTGCTCTAGAAGCTTTCAGCATGCTTTAGAGGCCTCTTTGCACTCCCCTCATACCCCCGGACCCCAGGCAGGATTTTGGAATTTGTAAGTTCTGGAAGTTGAGTGGCATCTCACAGCCCACGCAAGTGCAAGGCAGTTGGTGGCAGGTGCCCACTGTGGGGTTGGCAGCTTGAGCCTCTTCAGGTCTGTAGTGAGCCTCCCTGTCCAGGGTCTGTGCCAGGGATGTGGTAGGAGACCGTCCTGAAAGAGCTGGAGCTGGGGGGGCAAGAAGTGTGCTGGCCACAGGCAGCCCTGACCCAAGGGAGGTGCAGGGCAGGACTGAGCCCCCAGCCCCTTAGCCGTGGAGAGGCTGCTGTCCCCCACCATTGAGTTTCATCTTGTGTGTTGTTGAGGGAGGGACAAGGGGAGTTGATTTCAATGACTTGCCCTTGAAGCCTACAGTCATTCCCAGGTACAGCCTGTGCTGCACTGTTGGCGTTCTTTGGGGACGTGCCCCTTGCACCTGCAGCATGCAGCCCACTCCCGAGCCTGCAGGAGGGTCCTGTGCCCTGCATGGTCAGCCTGTGACAGACGCCACATGGAAGTGACACACATGGAAGCGTGCATTGGGGGTGTGTCACGGGAGAGCATAGGCACCTACCATCCCCGGCAGCCCCTCCTGGTCCTTCCCTTCCCAGGGTGACCGCCCTGGCTGGCTCCTTTGACGCTGTGTGCTGCTATGTGGGCTCTGGGGTTGAGTCATCATCTTTTGCTTGGCAAGACTCTTCCTTACTGTGGGCAGCTGTGGTGCGTGCCATGTCCTCATGTTGCGTGTTTCAAGCACACATGCCTGTGCATCCTGCCCACTCTGGATGGCCATGGTGTTGCCAGTCCTTGCAGGCCTGTTGTAAGCATGGCTGTGTGTGGATTCCTGTGGCAGAAGGATGGATTTCTTTGGGGTTTCAGCCTGGGAGCAAGGCTGTGGAGCCTCTGTTGTTGTTCTGCCTTAACTCTCTGGGACCACCTCTGCTGCTGCTGAAGGACTTGGTGGCGGCCTGTGGCAGTGCCCGGCAGCATGTGGGGTCAATGGGCATGAGGCAGGTGCTCTGGGGCAGGCCACCGGGTCCGTCTTTGCTGTGCCCCCACTGGTAGTCTTGGTGGGATGGGGCAGAGCCAGCTGCCTGTCATGGCTGCTCTCTGTGGGGCCTGAGTGTGTGCTGCCACTGCCCGCCCAGGCCAGCAGTCCCAGTCCCCTTCACGGGGCCCTGCACGGTAACCTGCCGACATCTGTGCTTCCTGGTGAGCGTGTGCCCGCCCCCTTTCCGCCTCTCCTGGATGTAGTTGGCCACTGTGGGCTGAGCCATGAGGATGCAGGGAGCGACCTGCTGTTTGCCCTGTGGGCATGATGAGTGCCGTCCCAGAGCTGGTGGTGTGCGAGGGTGCATAAGCATCGCTTCTGCTTCCCAGTGGCTGGCAGGGCCACCCATGGGGCACTCACGGAGAGCCCTAAGCCAGTCAGGCCTAAGCCAGGGCACGGGCCCGTCAACACCATTGATAAGGTGGAGGCAGCAGTGGCTTCCCCATGCCGTCCTGTGTGTGCTCGGGCTCATGGCCAGCCTGGCAGGGGCAGCCTTGTGAGTATCCACACCGGGCAGTCGCCTTCCCCCACAGGCACATGGGGCCTGTGGTCCCAACCACAGCAGAGACCACGATGTAGGAGGTGCTGGCAGCGTGCAGTGGGTATGGAGGCTGGAACAACCCAGGGGACTGGGTGGTCTGCTGGAAGGGTGTTCTGGGGACAAGGAACAGGAGGGCCAAAGCTCAGAGGTGCCCCCCGTGGATGCTGGGAAGCGTACTGTGCCTTTTGGGGTTTCAGGGGCTGCCTCGGGCACACTATGCTTGTGTGGTGGGTCACTTCACCAGAGAAGGTGGCTGGACCAGCTGGATGGGGGGTAGGTGCTGATGTGGGTCTTTGAGGGCCCAGGGCCATGGGGTGGCACTAGGGTCAGAGCTGGAGGTGGCATTGAGGTCACAGGATGGAGGAGAGAGGGCACCAGGCAGCTGGTGGGTTTGAGGGAAGACACTGGGGCAGATGGTCCCTGCTGCCTGTGTCCCCACAGGACCCGTGCTGGTGACAGCCTGGCTGTGGCGGAGACTCTGGCCAAGCCCCAGGTTAGCCCGGAGCCCAGGCAGTGGTATGTGACTGAGGTGGTGCAGTCTATGGTGGTTCACGGTGGCCCCACCAGGTGTGGCCTCACCAGCTGGGTGCTAGGTTCCCCAGGCAGCTGTGCACATCTGCCCCACAGCAGGGCCAAGCACTTCCCCTTTGGAACCATGAACTCCTGAATTCTCACACAGCTCTGTGAGGTGGATGTTGGCAGATGAGACCAGGGGTTGGGGAGGTCCACTCCTTGCTGAGGGGTTGCTGCTGGGGCAGGCTGGAGCCTGTCTAAGGCAGCCCTGGCTGTCCTTCACCTGCCAGGACCCTGACCTCAGTCTCTGCTCTCCCTGTGTGCTGGGGGTTGGGGGTGGAAGAGATGGGATTCCTAGGACACTCTCTCCCCCGACAGGTGTGTCTGGCCTGATTCCAGCCCTCGGGCTTCCTGCAAATCCTGTTTTAATTACCCAATTACTGCCAAGAGGAAATTGCTAATTGCTTTTCCAGTATCAAGTTCCTCCTGGCCTTTCTGAGAGTGGTGGGGACCCAGGAAGGAGGCCTAGAACCTGTCCACAGCTGGAGGAGGGGGCAGTCCTGTGAGGGGTGAGGAGGGTCTGGGAGTGGGTCCGCTGGGGCCTACCTCAGCTGTGCAGTTCTGGCTGGGAAGGGGAGGGGCAGGTGGGCTCTGCACCCTGTGGGGGTCCTGAGAAGAGAGGGCAGCAGAGGCTCCTGCCCCTCGGGCAGCCCTTCCTGGGGCCACCTCAGGCTGGGGACGGGTTTGGCAGCTGCCTCTGCAGAAAGGCTGAGAAGTGTGTGAGGCCTCCACGTGTGGGCACCTCCTTAGCTGCTGCCCCGGTCTTTGCCTGTCCCCACCTTGTCCTGTCCTTCTCCCAGCCCTGGGGCCCGGAGGCAGCTCCACAGGTGCATCCCCGCCTCACAGAAAGAGGGAGGGCCAGGCCCCTGGCTGCCATCATGGGGCAGGCAGAGTTGGGCAACTCCCCTTGCCAGGTCAGGGCCAAGCCGGGCAGCCCCCTGCCTCCCGGCGGCTGGGGCGCGTGCCGGTCCTGGCACATAGCCTGGGTGGCCCAGACATCCTCCCGGCACCCCCGCCTGCCCTCAGCCCGGAGAATGGGCCCTTTGTTGGCTCTGGGCGGGATGGACAGCTGACCTGGCCGGGCCCTCAGCTGCCCGCCGGCAGCAGTTGGCCAGGGCTGTGGCGGTGATGGGAGTGGGTACAGCCAGCAGGGCCAGCCTGGGGCCTGCATTGAGCCCTGCCTGCTGTGTCCTGGGGGCAAAGGGGTGAACCTGCTCCCTGGCCTATCTGTGGGGAGGGTCAGATGAGCCCTGTGGTGGTGGGAGGTGCTCAGTCCAGGAGTGAGGGCCATGCCTGGCGTGGCCTGGGCACTGAGAGGCCTCGGGACTGCACTTCGGTCTCGGCTCCGAGCCCAGGGTCGACTCGCCCGTGTGCATGTAGGACAGGTACCCCAGGGTTAGATGGTCCAGGCAGAAGCAGGTGGGGGCATCCCGTGTTCCGCCAGCCAGGGGTGGGTGGGGGCCTGGTGCAGCCAAGGGGCATATCCAGGGAGGCTGCTGGCTCTGCTGAAGCCCCTTGGGTCAAGGGGAGGGTCCTCTCAAGCAGGGGGCGGCATGCATGGGCAGCGCCAGCTCCTGGTTTGTGCTGGGAGGTGGGAGGGTGGGCTGTTGGGGCCAGTTGTGGAAGGTTCTGGTGGTCTTTGGGGAAAGATTTGCAGAGCAAGGAGGTGACAGCTGGGGGAAGATTCCAGGGCATGCCTGTGGCCCGTTCCCATGCCCGGGACACGTCAAGCCTCTCATTTGCTCTGCCAGCTGCCCAGCTGCTGTGGGAGGGGCTTCTGGGCCCAGCCACCTCGAGGGTGGGCTGCCTCCAGGCGGGTGGCCCGAAAGTGGACAGCTGTGGCCAGGGTGTGGGCGTCGGCACGTGGGCTCCCGGCCGGCGTGTGCCCTTCTGTCCTGCCACCCGCTCTGGCCCCAGGTTCACCTGCCGTCTGTGCCCCTGTGCTCTGGTTCTCCTGGAATACCCTCCTGCTGGGTACTGGCTCCCCCTTCCCACTTTACGAGCAGCCTCTGTACTCCTCCCAGGTGCAGTTGCGGGTCCAGGGCCCAAGGTTCCTCTGGCAGGTGCTGTGTGAGTCTCAGCTTACCTCCTGTCTGTGTGGTTTGATAAAGCTGGCTTGGCTGCACAGGCCCTTCACCCTGAACTCTGGCTAGGACACAGACACATGTCCTGGGGACCATTGTCCTAGCTGGATGCCCTGTAGAACATGTGTGGGTGCACAGGGGCCCTGCTGAGTCTGGACCGTGGCGCCTCAGTGAACAGTGTGGGGCCTGCACCTGCGTCACATCCATCCTCTGGTCTGGTGTGCTGTGCCGTAGTGGCCTCCCCAGTGCCCCGCTCACACTGGCCATGCCATGGCCTCTCCTGGGGCTCTGTCTCCCTGGGCCCAGCCTGTGTGTGTGAAGGGGTGGAGGTGGCAGGTGGGTGGACAGATGGGTACATGGCGGATGGACAGCTGGACGCGTGTGCTCCCGGCTGCAGCTGTCAGAGCCAACTGTCCAGTCGGCATGCTGCTGGGTGGAGCGGGGCGTTCTGGAGCCTGGGGCCCAGCTCCAGAAGAAGCTCCTATGGCTTCTTCCCTTCCTGGGACCCCTCCTTGCACCCCTCACCCACCGTTCCTTTCCTTGGAGCTGGTGTGCCCCCTGGACCTGCCCTTCTGTGACCCGTTTCTTCACCCCTTGGTGTGACATTTGTGCCCCCAACCCTGAGTGGGTGGATGCCTTGCAGGCCGGGCCAGGGTCAGGCTCCGGCATCATGTGGCCCTGGCTGTTGGGGAGGTGGGTCATGTCCTTGTTGAGACACCTCTCAAGTGCTCCCTGCATGCCGGGCCAGGGTCCATCAGCTCAGGCTGAAGGGGCTCTGCTACCAGGGGCAAGAGGGGCCAGGGGCCATATCCCCTGGTGCTGGTAGGGGAGGGGGAGCTGGGGCTGGGCTTCACAGCGGGAAGCCGCTGGGGATATCCACAGGACTGTGAGGATGGAGGAGATGAGAGGAATCGTGGTCCCTAACCGGGGTCTTCCAGGTTGGAGCCGCAGGTCTGCGCACTGGGCATACCTGCCCCAGCCTCCACCCAGTCTGTGTCCTGCCCTCCTCGCCTTCCTTCCCCCACTCCCTGGTGGCTGTCTTAAGCCGCTGGCTTGGATGTGTGGTTGGCTGCGCAGGTGCGGTGATTGCTGTGGGCCTGGCCACCCTGGGTCCCCCTGCTCCCGCCTGGCACACCTGGCCTGGTTCTCATATAATCCTCAGAACAACTCTGTCTGAGGGAGGCAGAGAGAGGTTTGGACCCAGGCACTGTGGCCCAGAGGCTGGTCCTGGCTGGCATCCGCCTGGGTCTGAGTACCTGCCTCTGGCCACTGACCCAGAGCAAAGCAGGGGGTTTGTGGTGCTGGCATCCTAAGCGTCCGTCGGGCAGGCCTTGGGCCAGTGGTCATCTTAAACAAGGACTCCTACTCCTGCTGTGGCTGCAGGGCAGGCAGGCACGGGTGCACTTGGTGCGGGTGTGGGTGCAGTCCAGGCCCCACCGGCAGGGGTGCTGGGCGGCCGTGGCCTGGTTGCTCCTGGGCCGCCCGCTGTCCCTGCATCTCTCCTCCCAGAGGCCGTGGGCCATGGCCCTGCAGCCAGTGCAGCTGGGCCCATCCTGGCCGCCTCTTCCCCTGCCCAGCTTTGGGCTCCACTCTTCCGGGTCTGGTTTGACTTAAGCCTGCTTGGTGGCGAGGCAGCTGAGCGGATGTGGGGGGTGGCCGGCGGCGCTCAGGAATGCGGCCCTCCCCCTCTCCCAGCCGACAGCCTCTTTGGCTCAGAAACACAGCGCCCCACCCTGGCTGGCCGCCCTCAGCCCAGGCCTGATGGATCGGACTCCAACCAGGGCTTTCGCTGGGCCCTGCTGCCCTGGACCTGCCCTGCTCTGTAACCGTGAGGAGTGAGGACACAGAGGAGGGGTACTGAGTCTGGGCCTAGGCCCCTGCCCTGAGGTGGAAGTGGAGAGGTAGAGCGGGAGCAGGAGTGGGTCAGGCTGGGGGAAGCAGGCCACAGCCCGCAGCCTGAGAGCCTACCCTGGACTCAGAGCTGGGCAGACACGCCCCAAGAGTCCCATCTCTGGAAAGCCCCGTGGGTCTCTCTGTTAATTAAATACATTTGTTTGGTAAAAGCAACTAAAAATACTTGCAGCATCGTGAGCTGCGGAGAAGAGCTGGCTAATTAACGCCTGGTTTGTTTGGGATCTGGAATACATTTCCATGCCGATGAGACGCCCACCCTCCTCCACTGCCTTGCCAGGATGCCCCCACCCCTAGGACACCCCATTCTGGAGTCTCCTGGTCCACTGCCCTAGACTTCCTGTGAGCCCTGGCCTCTGCCCCCGACAACCAACATCCCTCCTTCAAAAGCCCAGCCTGGCCCCAGGGATGGCTAGGCACCCGTGGGACTCCTGTAGCCTTCACCCTGGGTGTGGCCATGCTGCTCCGTGGTGGGTGCTGGGCTGTGGTTGTCTCCAGGCCCCAATACCTTCTGGCCTCTGCTGACTGTTAAAGGGGCTGAATCACAGACTGGCCTGTTGGGGTCTGAGTTTGCCCTGCACTGGGGCTGGGGCTGGGGCTGGGGCTGGGGCTGGGGATGTGGAGAGTGAGTATGGCTGGCGCTGGTCCTCTCTGCTCATGCATGTCTGGGCAGCTCAGGGAGGGGCTTTAGACCCCTGACCTTCTGTGGGGGGTGGGGCTGGGTCAGGGAGGTATCAGCACAGCTCCAGTTAGGGCCCCTTGCTGCCGCAGATCCTGGTGGACCTCTCAAACCCCGGTGGCCGGCCTGCCCTGGCCTACGAGAGCGTCGTGGCCCAGGAGGGCAGCCCCATCCTGCGAGACCTCGTCCTCAGCCCCAACCACCAGTACCTCTACGCCATGACCGAGAAGCAGGTGGGTGCTGCACCAGTCAGACGGTGTGGCTGAAGGTGGGGGCCCTCCTACCAGGAACCCCAGTCACAGAGCAGTAGGGGTGGGGCCACATCACAAGTTGGGCGTCCATGGCTCCTGGTAAAAGTAGTTTCAAGCTGGTCTGTGCTCTGCCTCCCTGCAGACTTGTGGGCTCGGCTGGGTCTGCAGGGGAACCGGTCTGGTCACCAGGGGCCCCACAGCCTCATTGCTGCCTCCATGTTCTCCTGGGCTGGGTTTGGCATTCCCACCCCTCCCCTGTTGACTTCCTGACCACAGAAACAGATGTATGAAGGAGAGCAATTTCAGAGGCAGGTGTCACTGGAGGGTTTGGGGTGTGTACTGGGCCACTGAGTCCTCAGGCCTAGGGCTGGGTCTCTGTCCAGTGGGTCTGCCCACAGGGCCTGTGGCTGGCCTGGTCTACCCAACCTGGTGCCTGGCCCAGCTCTGTAAGGCCATGGAGTTGAGTCCCTGGCCTGGCTTGCCTGGAGTCCACCCCTGCCCTATGGCCCAACCTGGTAACCTCGTGGCAGCTGGAGGGTGGGCAGATGGGGCAGGTGGGGCCAGGTTGGGCACACCAGCTGAGGCCAAGCCTCCCTCCCCTTCTGGCTGGCTCGTTTTTCCTCTGCCCCTCCTGGGCGCAGTGGGGTTCTGCCTTCCTGGGGACCTCAGGGACGTGCCTCCGTGGGCACTGGGATGCTGGGCTGAGCCAAGGAGCCAGAGTGAGCTGGGGCCCAGCCTGCCCCTCTGAGCATTGTCTGGGCCTGCATTGGAGCTTAGGATTGGGACCTGCCAAGCCCATTGATCGCTGGGGAAGCTCAGAGCTGGGAGGGAGTCCAGACAGATGGAGAGGAACTCTGGTTGAAGCTGCAGGTGCTTCTTTGATTGTCTCACCCCATATGGACTGTTCTCTCTGGCTGCTGCCCCCTGGGTTTCCAGGGCAGAGGCCTGACCTGTGCGACCTGGCTTGGCCAGGGCAGGGTCACCAGATCTGCCTTTGAATAGACTGAGAACAAGTGCAGGGCCTCCCCGGGCCTAAGGAGAGCAGAGTAGGGAGTCAGAGGTGAGGATGGTCAAGGACCCCTGGGGTGGTACTGGAGGGGCCTGACACCTCCCCCACACCAGGTGACGCGGGTGCCTGTGGAGAGCTGTGTGCAGTACACGTCCTGTGAGCTGTGTCTGGGGTCACGGGACCCCCACTGTGGCTGGTGTGTCCTGCACAGCATGTGAGTCTGGGCAGGTGGGCAGGGGCAGGCGGGGAGGGCCATGGTGGTCTCACAGTGGGGGAGGGGGAGCCTGGTGCAGGGCAAGCCACCCCGAGTTCTCTGCCCAGGTCCCGCCTGGCAGGCGGGCCCCGTAGGTCTCCCCATCCGCCCAGCCTCAACCCCTCTGCCTGCAGCTGCTCGCGGCGGGACGCCTGTGAGCGAGCAGACGAGCCCCAGCGCTTTGCTGCGGACCTGCTGCAGTGTGTGCAGCTGACTGTGCAGCCCCGCAATGTGTCTGTCACCATGTCCCAGGTCCCAGTAAGTGTGGCACCCCAGGTGGTAAGGGGTGGGGGACAGCCATGGGGACCCTGCTCACCATGCCTCCTGCTGCCTGCCCAGCTTGTGCTGCAGGCCTGGAACGTGCCTGACCTCTCAGCTGGCGTCAACTGCTCCTTCGAGGACTTCACGGAATCTGAGAGCGTCCTGGAGGATGGCCGGATCCACTGCCGCTCACCCTCCGCCCGGGAGGTGGCGCCCATCACGCGGGGCCAGGGTGAGTGGCCCCAACACAATGGTGCCCGCTGCCTGGCCAGGTCCAGGGCTGCAATCCAGTTGCCGCCTGTTTAGCGCCTCCCTTGTTCAGTTCCAAGGGCATGTTGGTGACACTCTGACAGCTGATATGGGTGGGGGTCTCACCACCTGCTGGTCTGGGAGTGGAGAAAACCCTCCAGGCATGTAGCCAGAGTGAGAGCCTTCCTGCCAGGGAGGTGGACAGCGGATACATCCTTCTTAGGATTTATCTTATGGGCTCACCATACATTTACAGTAGGAATAGCCATAGACACATGAGCATACTTCACCTCCGCTACCATAATTATTGCCATCCCTACTGGCATTAAGGTCTTTAGGTGTCCCATGGTGACCCAGAGGGTGGAAGAGCAGGGCAGGGTAGGTGGGATGAAGGGACCACATGGCGGAGACCTGGGGTCTTGCGGGGGGCTGCAGGCTGAAGGTGGGAGTGGGTGAGGGGTGGGCTATGTGGGGCGCAGGTTGGGTGGGGGACAGTCTCATGGGGACTTGGGGTGCAGGACCCCTCTGGCTGCCACAGCCCGTTGGACAGTCGCTCTGCAGGCCCTTCCACAGGAGCAGGCAGCCTGGGGGCCTGGGGAGAGTCTCGCGGTTCTCAACCCCTCACACTGAGCAGGAGGCAAGCAGGGCAGATCCCAGGCCCTGGTCACCTGGGGGCTGAGGGGGCTGGATGCGTGTTTGATGCGACTGATGGTGGCAGCTAGGAGGGTCTCCGGGCAAGTTGTTCCCCTGTCTGGACTTGCCCTGTGTGGGAGTCCTGGGCAAGCAGTCCTGGTGACTCAGCCATGCTGCTCGTGCAGGAGACCAGCGGGTGGTGAAACTCTACCTAAAGTCCAAGGAGACAGGGAAGAAGTTTGCGTCTGTGGACTTCGTCTTCTACAACTGCAGCGTCCACCAGTCGTGAGTGTCTCTAGGCCCCTCCGCCCGCCTGGGCCTGGGCTACTTGCCCCACTCCCGTCCCTGTGGTCCCACTGTGCTTGCTGTCTGCAGACCTGTCCTCATGTGGCCAGGCAGCAGATGGTGATTCCATGATTGGGGCTCCTGAGGCTGGGCGGTCAGGGAGGGAGGAGAGGCCACTGTGAGAGCAGCTTGCAGGTAGAGGAGCCAGCCAGGGCAAGGCCATGAGTGCAGAGGGTGCCTGAGGCTGGGGCAGGCGTACCAGGAAGCAGCAGTCAGAGTGGGCGGCAGTGCCTGCCCCACAGGGATCTTGTAGGGCCCCAGGTGGCTGTGTATGGCTGCAAGGGCACATTGTGCAATGTTGCCACCGTGATATGGACAGTGGCCCATGGGCACTGGCATGGAGGGGAGGCGCTCAGGGAGGAGCTGCGGGCTGGTTTGGGGGCCTGAGCAGGGGCCCAGACACGGCCCCTGGGTACCTGCTGCTTCTGGTTGTGGCAGGCTACTGTTGGACGATGCAGCATCCAGGTCCCCTCTGGTTGGTGCTGGCCCCTGTGCACGCCCCCTGCTTGGGCAGGGAGTGTGTCTAGGAGGCAGCTGCTATGCCTGCTGCCCATTTTGGCTGTGAGCACCCCCAGCCTCAGAGGAAGGATGGGAGGATCTGGGGGCCTCCTGTGAGTCCCACTGTGAGCCCAGAGGAGAGCCCTCACTCCTTCCCTGAACCAGAGGACCCAGGCTGAGGCAGTAGGGTTTGGCCTCAGAGACAGGAGGTGCGTGGCTTTTCAGGTATGCTTTTGTTTGTTGACTGACTCACAGATGGACTCTGTCACAGCTCTTTGTGGAGCAACTGCCGTGAGCCAAGCAGGCTTTTTATTTCCAGGATGCAGCATCTCCCGTCCCAGGTGGGGTGGGGGATCTCTGGGGCAGAGGCCTGGAGGGGGCCGAGGGCTACAGGAGAAGCAGGGTGGTGGGGGAGCTGGCGGGTCAGGAGATCCTGGAGAGGAGATGGAGGTGGTGTCTTCCTGGAGGCTGTTGAGATGGCAAGGTGCCAGCCCTGTGCAAGGCTGAGTTGTGGGCAGAGCGCCTACAGTGGCCAGCCTGGCAGACCCTGGGGTGTGTCAGAGGGAAACAGACAAGCTCCTGCCCCAGCGATCCTGCTTTCTGCAGGGAGGTGATGTGCATGGCCCTGTCCAGTTCTGTGGCAGCACGTGCTGCTTCAGTTTAAATCTAAGTTTGCCAAAAGGAGTCAAGACTTAAAATGAAGTTCCTTAGTTGCACTAACACATTTCTGATGCGAGTACCCATGCCTGGCTGGCAGTCAGGTGGTGATCAAGGCTCTGGAGGAAAAAGCGGCAAAGAGGATAGGGAGCCTGGGGTCAGGAGTGTGGGCAGGCAAGAAGGTGGGGAGGCAAGACACCTCCAGCTGTCGGGGAGGTGTGAGGAGGCAGAGAGGCAGCCACATTCAGGTTTGGGGGAAGAACTTTCCAGGCCAGGAGCAGTCAGTGCCAAGACCCTGAGGTGGCACTATGAATACCAGCAGGGGCGGCACAGTGTCCTTCTGATCATGGGTGACTCCACGTGGTTGCGGGTCCCCAGGCTTCAGCACCCACCCTCTCCCTGCAGCTGCCTGTCCTGTGTCAACGGCTCCTTTCCCTGCCACTGGTGCAAATACCGCCACGTGTGCACACACAACGTGGCTGACTGCGCCTTCCTGGAGGGCCGTGTCAACGTGTCTGAGGTAAGGCCGGGCAAGGGTGAGGGTCAGGTTTTCAGAGGTGGAGCAGAACTGGGTTGAGACATCCCATCTGGGTGTCGCCTGAGGCCTGGCCCAGGGAGCACCTGTGGATGTCTGGGATGTCACCGTGTGGTGCATGCACCACCAGGCTGGGTCAGTGAGGTGACCCTGGATGCCAGCTGGGAGGCCTGTGGGGTCACTGTCTTGGCCTGAAGTCAGGCCTGTGGTATTTGTTGGTGACCCCTGGGTGTCCTTCGTGACACTCAGGGAGGGGGAAAAGCCTCAGATGAGTTCTGTCCCTGGGCCTCTGTGTGGGGGCTGCAGACACGGGCTCCTGGGTGCAATTGGGGGCACTGTCAGGCTGCAAAGCAGGTGCGGGCAGAGCCTGGAGTGCGGGTGCCTGGCTGGGCAGGCACAGAGGCCTCCATGTTGGGCAGGGGAGCTTGCCGGCCTAGCGTGCCTGAAGGCTGGTGGGTTCTGGAGTCACCAGGCGCTGAGTGGTAATTGCTAGTAATTAAGTAGTAATTATTCTGGGCTGGGCAAGGCACTAGCTTTATGAACAGCAGGCTGTTCCTTCTGGAACATGAGGCGCTTAGTAGCAGGACAGGGCAGGACCCAGGGCCCACAGGTGCTGAGTGGCAAAGCTGAGGCCGGAGCTGTGGCAGCCCCCACCCCCATCCCCACCGGGTCTGGCTGTGGGTGTGGAGCCGGGACTTGCAGCCAGGTCCCTTTCCTTTGCTGTGGACACTCCGCCTGTTGGCTGGAGGGGGCAGGTTCTGCTTGCCAGGGAGACCTTGGAGGCTGCAGCTGGGCTGCACTTCCCTGCCAGGCTGGGGGCTGGGGGCTGAGGAAGTTGCATGGTGGCCCTCTCTCCTCTGGGTCCCTTCTCACAGAGGTCCCCTGGCCCCCAGCGTCACCCTCTGGACTGGACTTTTCTGCTCCCTGGCATGACATCAGGGCACAGGACAGCGGTGGAGGGTAGCCCGGGGCAGCAGGGACCACAGTGCCTGTGTCAGGGTGACTGCCTATAACAGTGGGTATGCAGGAGCCAGGGACACAGTGGGGCGCTTCTCTGGGGGTGCGGCCTGCCTGAAGAGCCAGGCCAAGGTGTCCTGGGTGTGGGCAGAGCCCACGGTGGAATCTGAGGCGAGAGCTGGTCCTGGGGGCCTCTCGGGCCAGGGAGAGCTGGGCATGAAGTCACTGTGGGGATGATGTGCAGATGCAGTGGCTTTGGCGCTGTGCGCAGCCCAGGGTTCGAGCAGTGGGGGGCAGCACAGTGGTCGTCAGGGGTGGTAGCAGGGCCCTGGGCAGCTTGGGATGGTTTTGGGGCTGAGATAGCCCAATTCCTCAGTGGCAGCCTTCCCTGAGCCCTCCCCATCCATGCCATGAACTTCGAGGCACCCTTGGGGAGTGGAGGAAGTGGCCCCTGGAGTAGTGGCCCTAGGCCTCAGGGTTGGGGAGGCAGAGCAGGCAGGGCTGGGCTGGGGGCACGTGTGGGGTCGCAGGACTATGTGGGGAGTGGATTCTCTCCACAAATACTTACTCTTTTTTTTAGCTTGAGTCCCAGATTTTTATGGAGCCATTCCTAAGGGGTGTGACGTGAGTCCTCCGGGACTCAGGGAACAATGGCCAGTGGCAGTCCCCCCCCAACCCCCCCACAAGCCCTCTTTCCGTCTCTGTTTCTGGTGGGTTCCTCGGGCCACCCCCTGAGACAGGAGTGTACTACATTCAGCTTCCTGCTGAGACAGCCGGGCCTAACCCCCAAGGCCACCATCCGCCCCCTGCCCCCATGCTGGGAGGGGGTCTCTGTGGCCCCTTCTTGTGCCTGCCTGCATGCTGGGGTCTGTGTGTTTTGTCTGAAGGCGGAGTGGCCTGTGCATGTTGATGGGAAGGGCCGCCAGACTGGGGCCATGGAGGCAGCTGGTGCTGTGTGCCAGGGCCTAAGGGCTCCCACGTGGAGCCCCCACCGAAGCTGAGCTCATGAGACACGCTGAGAAGTCGGGACTTTCTCTTAGAAATGCCTGTTTCTGGACTCTGCAGAAAGGGAGGAGTGTGGTTCGTGTCTTCACATAACAGTTGCATGCCCCGCCAGTCAGCTCCCAGATCTGAGCAAGTCTATAGACTCCTTGCTTGAAGGAGAGGCTGGGGTCCCTTGAGGAAGGAGCCTTGTGCGCTGGCAAAATGCACCCTGTTAATCTTCCCCCAGCGTTTCCCAGAGGGACCTCCAGCCTTTTACCAGGGAGACTATGCACTGGGGAGAAGGTTGTAATCGGAGCCTTTGGGGACAACCGGACCTGGCTCTGAAGAAGGACCTCCAGCCTTTTACCGGGGAGACTATGCACTGGGGAAGAGGCTGTAATCAGAGCCTTTGGGGACAACTGGACCTGGCTCTGAGCTGTCATTGATCCCAGGAGACCCACGCCACTGCAGGCCTCCTGTCAGAGTCAGAGTCAGGCCAGGTCGAGTCAGGTGATCACTGGAGTTTCAGCCTAATCCTGACTCAGTGGGCCGCATGGGTGCCGAGCTTCCTGGGTTCTCACTCAGCTGGGTGTTGGGGAGGAGATGGGGTGGGGGTATGGGGAGCACCTGAGAGGACCGGGTGTGGCCCAGGCAGCCAGTCAGCTTCCTGCACCTGGCAGAGGGCAGGGGTGGCGAGGGGACAGGCCAGCTTCAGGGTGATGGGGCAGGCAGGTAGGGGCCAGCCACATTGGCCTTGATGCGTGCTGGGCCCACACGCTCACACTGGTGTTGGGGTGGGTGGTGCTTTTTCCTGGCTGGGACCTGGGTTCTGGGGGTGGGCCATGACTGAGACCTCACGCCAGGTGAGCCAGCTTCATGTCTCGTGCTACCGGCCAAGAGGTTTCCTGAACTTACGGGCACCAACAAAGCCCGTCCCTCACCATAGTCACCTTCTGGCTTGCTGCAGGCTGAGCTGCCTGGGCTCCTCTGGGCATTTTTCAGTTGGTTGGATGGTGGGGGCAGCTCAGCTGGTCTCAGACTGACCATTCTCGGGCGCTCACGGGCAGCCTAGCTTGGACTGAAAGGAGTCTCAGTGCCCTGAGCCACCCGTTTTCATGGCTGGGGCCCTAAGGTGACAAGGCCCACGGTGGCCCGTGTCACGGTGAGACTCCAGCCTGAGCCTCAGCATGCAGAGTCACTGGGCGCGCCTCAGACTGCCAGGGAGGTACAGCATAGGTATGGCCACTGTGCGTGCCTGTGCCTTCCGGCTGCAGCTGTTCTGGGAACACAGAGTTGCAAGTGCAGCCCCTAAGTTGGGGCCAGTGGCCCTAGCTGCAAGGTGCCACCACCTGCCTCTCCCCAGTGGACACAGGAGCATCCCTGCAGACCCAGAGATTAGTGGTCATCTTGCCCAGCTGGGCCTTGTTAACTCTGCTTCCCTGGAGCTCCTGAGGGGCCAGGCCAGAGTCCAGGCCCCCTCTTGGGTCCTGGAAAATCTCTGCAGAGCTGGGCCTGGGCCTTCCTGCCTGCCTTGGGGGCTGTTGCAGGGCTTGGGGATTACAGCCTGTTTTCAGCATCCCTATTTAAAGCCCAGCTTCTCAGTGTTCCCGAGGGGCCATCTCCTGAGGCCAGCAGCAGCCATGCTGCAAGGAAGCCAGGCCATTGCATCAGTTATTGTTGCCGAAATGCTGGCCCCAGAGGCCAGGCCTGTTTTTCTGCTGGGCTCTGGCTATTTTTATACACTCCCTGGGCCCCCAGCGCAGAGCCTGCAGCCCCAGAGCCCCAATCTCTTCTGCCTCTGGGGCCTTTTCAGCTGCTGGCCAGATGGGGCTCCTTTGGTCTCTGGAATGGTGGGGGTCCTAGAACATGGGGCAGGGCATTCAGGGGCCAGAGGTAATAGAGCCTGTCTGGGTCATAGTATGCAGTCACTGTCCCAGCCAGCGGTCCTCAGTTTGCCAGTGCATAAAATGGGCACATTGGTGCTTGGCTGGGAGCACCACAGGCCCAGTGCACATCTGGAGCGTAGTGGGGTGCACCTTGCTCACTGGTCTCCGCCCCCGGGCTCAGCCAAACTCTTCTTATCCCCAGGACTGCCCACAGATCCTGCCCTCCACGCAGATCTACGTGCCAGTGGGAGTGGTAAAACCCATCACCCTGGCCGCACGGAACCTGCCACAGCCACAGTCAGGCCAGCGTGGATATGAGTGCCTCTTCCACATCCCGGGCAGCCCGGCCCGTGTCACCGCCCTGCGCTTCAACAGCTCCAGCCTGCAGTGCCAGAATTCCTCGGTGAGGTGGCCAGGGCAGGGGCTGGGGGCCGTGAGCCGGAATGGGCCGGTTATCCTCACGGCCCTGGGTCCTGGCGTGTGCTTGTTCATAAAGGGCAGTGCACGTGCTCACGTGTATCTCTGATGAGTCAGAAGCCACTCCTGGCTTCCCCAGGCCATTGCCAGGCCCTTCAGATGTGCCTGGGTCATGTAGGCAAGTGGGCTGCAGGGGGCCCATGCTGTCCTGGTAGCTGCTGAGAGCACCCAGTTGTGTGGTGGGAGCAGCCTGAATGTGGGAGTGGACAGCAGCCAGCCTCATGGGACTCGCACATTGCAGCATCCGTGGGTCCCAGGCATGGGCTGATCATCAGGTCTGAGTGTGTGCAGGAATAGCCAGGTGGCTGCCAGCCTTCATCACTGTGGCTCCCGGAGGGCAGAGGTCAGGGTGCCAGAGCGCATGGCTCCGTCCATCCCTGGCCAAATGCAGAAAACACTCCCATTGGCCCGCACTTGCACACTAGCAGACGGTTGTTGCCTGTGGTCCGAGCATGCGTAGACCTTCAGATCTGACACAATAGTGTTTGAAAAGCTCTACTGTCAGGTGCAGTGCGTTCAGTGACGGGATCTCTATAGAACCAGCCATTTCCTGAGTGGTGGGGGAGTGGGGCCCAGTTGCCCAGCAGTTGGAGGCCTGGGCTGAAGTCCTGCACTCCCAGTAGGCCTCTGTCTCCCCTTCTGCTCAGGACGGGTGTGATCCAGGGAGCAGTGGGCTTCCTGTAACTCACTGCAGGGGCAGGTGGCTGGGCTGTTGTGTGGGGCACTGGGCTGTCGACAAGGCCTTGGCTGGACCCCATCCCCTGGAAGCCCTGGGGAGGGCCTTGATGGGGTCAGAGGTCTGGAGCCCCTTGGCTGACCCCTGGTCTGTCCCAGCAGTGTGGGGTAGGGTCTGGAGGGTCACAACAGGCTTCCTGGGGCAGGTTGGGTTGCAGGTCAGCCATGAGGATCACTCCTGGCCACCACAGCTATCTGGAGTTCTCTCTGCCATCCAGTCTTTCCAGACATTTCTGTTCTATCACCAACTCTTCGCCTGCCCTGCACTTTCCACCTGCGTCTCCCTCCCCACCCTCCCTTCTCACCAGGCCCACATTAATCTTCCCTTCAGCTGTGTTTAAAGGGAAGCGGGAGTATCGGGGAATTTGACAGGATCCAATTAAATTCCTGCAGATAAAATAATGATGAATTGCCGGGCCGCCCCTTGGAGATGCTGGGCTCCCTGCACCGTCCCAGCACGGGAACAGAGTTGAGGTCATCTGTGGCAGAAAGTGGGGCACAGCTGGAGTCCTAGCCAGGCTCCCGGGGAGGGGCAGTTCCCCTGGGCCCAGCCCAGCCTTGTTGAGGAGGGGACGGGGAGCAGAGCTGCACCTGACAGTGATTTTGCCTGTCTCTGCCCCAGTCCGGGGACACGGATCTCCCACCTCAAGGCAGGGCAGTCCTGGCCCATTCAGCAAAGATGCTGAGGTACACAGAGCATGCTGATGCGTATTCTAGGGCCAGCTGGGAGTCTTGGTTTCCCAGCCTGGCTGACTGTAGGGAGTGGTCAGAGGCTGCCTGTGGTTGGAGGTGGTCTCCAAGGGGGTGCCACAGAGGTGACTGTGGGAAGCACAGAGGTTCCCTTGGAAGGGCACCTCATATGGTTGCTAGCCTGGAGAGAGGGGGCTCTGGAGCCAGGAAGGAAGTCCTGTGTAGGATGAGGGTGGAGAGGGAGCGGTTGTGGCTGCAGAAACTTCCCCCTAAGCTGGCGCCCTGGTGGCTTTGTGGGCGTGAGGCTTGGGAGGCCTGGAGGCCGCTTAGCTGGGAAGCCTGACGGTGCCATCACCTAACAGTACTCCTACGAGGGGAACGATGTCAGCGACCTGCCAGTGAACCTGTCAGTCGTGTGGAACGGCAACTTTGTCATTGACAACCCACAGAACATCCAGGGTGAGTGGGCGCCCCGGCGGGGTGGGCAGTGGGCGGGCCCGAGCTGACCGCACCCCTCCCCACAGCGCACCTCTACAAGTGCCCGGCCCTGCGCGAGAGCTGCGGCCTCTGCCTCAAGGCCGACCCGCGCTTCGAGTGCGGATGGTGCGTGGCCGAGCGCCGCTGCTCCCTGCGACACCACTGCGCTGCCGACACACCTGCATCGTGGATGCACGCGCGTCACGGCAGCAGTCGCTGCACCGACCCCAAGATCCTCAAGGTAGGGCCCCCAGCCCTGCCCCCACACCCCATGCCCCGCCCTGCACCACCGCACACCCTACGCCCTGTGGGATGCCTGTACCCCAGCCTCTGCCTCCCTCAGCTGTCCCCCGAGACGGGCCCGAGGCAGGGCGGCACGCGGCTCACTATCACAGGCGAGAACCTGGGCCTGCGATTCGAAGACGTGCGTCTGGGCGTGCGCGTGGGCAAGGTGCTGTGCAGCCCTGTGGAGAGCGAGTACATCAGTGCGGAGCAGTGAGTGCAGCCCTGGGTGTGTGCGGGGCGGGACGGGACGGGGCGGGGCTCCTGCAGCCCCTGAGGCCCGCCTGCCCACAGGATCGTCTGTGAGATCGGGGACGCCAGCTCCGTGCGTGCCCATGACGCCCTGGTGGAGGTGTGTGTGCGGGACTGCTCACCACACTACCGCGCCCTGTCACCCAAGCGCTTCACCTTCGTGGTGAGTCTGCTGCCCTCCCTCTCTCCCTATTCTCTGCTGCTCTGAGAGGGTGCCGCTCAGGGCTTCTGTGCCTCTTCAGGGCCCCTTGTCTGGCCATGCTCTGCCACTGCTTTTCCACGGCCTGGGTGCTGCCCCTCCCCTCCTGTGCCTAGGCCAGCTCCAGGGCTCCCTGGCTCACCTTGGGCTGTGCCTGAGAAACCTGGAAGTACTGGCTCTGAAGTGCAGCTCCCGGGCATGCGGGCTCCTAGTCTGGGGAACTGTCTGTGGGGGTAAGCAGGCCAAGTGGGGCCTGTCCCCATGTGGCCCGAGGGGGACTTTCCTGAGAGTTTCAGCAAGTTCCCTCTTCCTGCAGACACCAACCTTCTACCGTGTGAGCCCCTCCCGTGGGCCTCTGTCAGGGGGCACCTGGATTGGCATCGAGGGAAGCCACCTGAACGCAGGCAGTGATGTGGCTGTGTCGGTCGGTGGCCGGCCCTGCTCCTTCTCCTGGTACGGGGTGCAGGTGGGGGTGGGGGCCTGGCTGCCCCTCCTCCTGTTTCAGATGGTTGCATGCCCCTTCTTGTTGCCTGGGCAACGGGGCTATGGAGAGCCTGGCTGGGGTGATCACTGTGAAACCCAGAGGCGGAGGTTACCATGGAAACAGGCTACCTCCAGAGTGGTAGGACTGGGCGGTGATGGGCGTGGGGCCTGCCTTTGTGGGGCGGGGCAACTTGGCTGCCTCTGCCCTGGTTCTTCCCTGTGGGGAAGGGGGGAATCCCTTGGGTACAAAATAAGAAGTATTTTTTAAAAATTTTTAAGAGAGAAAACAGAAATCTTAACAAAAGCCCTGAGGCTTGAAGTGGATAATTTTAGATTAGGGATGATAATGGAATGTCCCTTTAAATATTTTCCTATGGTAATTACCCGTTATCAGACTAATCATTGGTGTCTGCAGCTGAGGGGGCCTGGTGGCTGTGGGGCTCCTGGCAGTGGTGGAAGAACTGAGGGTCCGGACCCAGGTGTGGGCTATGCCTGGCTGCCTGCCCAGTGGGGTGTCCCCGTGACCCCCACCCAGGCCAGCTCATCTAGTCTCCTCACAGCCCCCTGGGATGCGGGGATAGGGCGAGGTATTCCCACTGGGACAGGTGCCGAGAGGGAAGGTGTCTGCCTGGCCCAGGGTAGTAGGAGTGGGTGCTGGGCTCCCAGCACTCGGAGCCCCGGCTGAGTGAGGCTGGCCCTGAGACAGGCAGGGAAGGTCGCGCCAGGGCTTAGTCTCGCCAGCCCTCCCCAGGGACAGAGGGAGGGCAGCATGAGCCTACCTCCCAGCCTGGCGTGCGTGGGACGGGCCTGCTGCCTACTGCCTCTGGGGAGGCAGAGGCCTGGTGGGTGTGGAGCCCTGGCCAGGGTCACCAGGAGTGGGTGTGGGCGACAGGGAGGCTGTGATGAAAGCAGACCTGGAGAGGCGGCAGGCCGGGTCCCAAATGCCAGGCTGGGCAACAGTGGGGGCCTGAAGGGGCTGGGAGCCAGGGCGAGGGTAGGACAGACATGCACAGCCCTGGGAGGGAAAGTAGCGGTGATAGTATGCAGCCACCCAAGGCAGTACCTGTGACAGATGGCGCTGTTCCCACCGTCCCTCAATGCATCTGCATTCCACCTGCCTGGGTTCCACCCGTGTGCTCCTCACTGTCCCACTCGGGCACCTCCAGGAGGAACTCCCGTGAGATCCGGTGCCTGACACCCCCCGGGCAGAGCCCTGGCAGCGCTCCCATCATCATCAACATCAACCGCGCCCAGCTCACCAACCCTGAGGTGAAGTACAACTACACCGAGGACCCCACCATCCTGAGGATCGACCCCGAGTGGAGCATCAACAGGTGGGGCCCAGCAACACCCATTCCCTATCCCCAGCTATTGAGAGCAGCGCTGAGCCAGGAGCTCTTCCACTGGGCACTTGGCGGTGGCCCTCCTGCATGCCGGGTACTATCCTGCCGGGAAGCACCCCTTGCCAAGAGCTTTTACCTGTTTCCTGTCTTTGGGGAAGGCAGGCTTTGCCTGGCTGAGCTGTGGCCCACGTTTCCAGCTCACTGGGCCCCAGCATCATTTGGTGACCCCCCCACCCCTGTCCTGTTCCAGCGGTGGGACCCTCCTGACGGTCACAGGCACCAACCTGGCCACTGTCCGTGAACCCCGAATCCGGGCCAAGTATGGAGGCATTGAGAGGGAGAACGTGAGTCCCTGCCCTCAGCTGCCCACCTCGGTCCAGGCCTTCACCTGGGATGGGGCTCCTGCTAGGAATACCCGTGTCCCTGCCCCTGCCCCTACCCCTGCCCCTTCCCAGCTTATGCCAACCTTGGCTGTGCCTGGAGACCCCTGGGGAGGCACCTGTCCTGCCTGGCGGGTAGAAGGTCTGGCTCTGGGTTGCTGGCTGCACACACCTCTCCTTCAGGCCACATGTCCCTGGTCCACGTCGGGTGGGTGGCCCAGGACCAGCCCTGCTAGTGCCTGGCATCATCTGTGCAGGGAGCAGGCAGCCCCCAGGCCAGGGGCTCTGTCACTGGGAGCTGCCGGGCCACTCGCGGAGGTCCCGCCCAGCATCCCCACCCTGTGTCTCCAGGGCTGCCTGGTGTACAATGACACCACCATGGTATGCCGCGCCCCGTCTGTGGCCAACCCTGTGCGCAGCCCACCAGAGCTGGGGGAGCGGCCGGATGAGCTGGGCTTCGTCATGGACAACGTGCGCTCCCTGCTTGTGCTCAACTCCACCTCCTTCCTCTACTACCCTGACCCCGTACTGGAGCCACTCAGCCCCACTGGCCTGCTGGAGCTGAAGCCCAGCTCCCCACTCATCCTCAAGGTGGGTCACCATTGCCCGTAGGCTGGGCCAAGCCAGGGAAGAGGCCCCTCGTCCTGGGCTCTGGCTCACCCCCATCTCCTACAGGGCCGGAACCTCTTGCCACCTGCACCCGGCAACTCCCGACTCAACTACACGGTGCTCATCGGCTCCACACCCTGTACCCTCACCGTGTCGGAGACGCAACTGCTGTGCGAGGCGCCCAACCTCACTGGGCAGCACAAGGTCACGGTGCGTCTGTCCACCGGGGGTGCAGAGCTGGGAGAGCCATGCCCCACCTGTGGACCCTGCCCCACTAGCACAGCCCCAGCTCTGACCTTGCCCGAGACTCACCCCTAGCTCAGAGGGCGCCCGGCTCCAGTGCAGGCCCTGCCGTAGCCTTCAGCCTGCCACCTCCTTGAGCCCCCCGAGACTGCCTACCCACCCTGAGCCCTTGCCATGCCAGTGGTGCCCTGGCTGGCCAGGCGCCTGCCCTGGGTCCCAGTGTCTCCACCCTGGTGACCACTCTGTGCCCCTGTCGGTGGGACCTTTCCCACAGGCAGGTGTTGGGGGTGGGTCTTGCCCATCGGGAGGGGCTCCCAAGCTTTGTGGAAAGCATGGGAAGCTCCTGAGTGGCCTCCACCCACTGGCAGGTGCGGGCAGGTGGCTTCGAGTTCTCGCCAGGGACACTGCAGGTGTACTCGGACAGCCTGCTGACGCTGCCTGCCATTGTGGGCATTGGCGGAGGCGGGGGTCTCCTGCTGCTGGTCATCGTGGCTGTGCTCATCGCCTACAAGCGCAAGTCACGAGATGCTGACCGCACACTCAAGCGGCTGCAGCTCCAGATGGACAACCTGGAGTCCCGCGTGGCCCTCGAATGCAAGGAAGGTCTGTTGGGGCCAGGGCTCACTGGGGCAACTGCCACCTCCGAGCCAGGCCCTGGCCTGTCCCCACACCTACTTCCCACCGCCGCCCCCACCCTGCTTCAGCTCAGTTTACAATGTTCCTGATAGCCTTGCTGTGCCAGAGCTGGTCCCAGGGCAGTGGGCGGGTGCCTGACCAGGGCCTGGCCCTGCAGCAGGTACCACCTCCTTGGGGTGCTGCTTGCGACACAGAACCCAAAGCCAGACTGTTTGCATTTGTATCCCAGCTGGGCTATAAGGCTGAAGGTGGCTACTTACCCTTCTGTGGCTCAGTCTTGTCGTCTCTAGAGTGGGCACAATGACAGTGCCTACTTTCCCTGGGTGCTGGGAGTCGTGGTGGGTTGGCTGGTGCCAGCGGAGCAGCAGAGAGGGGTGCTTCCACCATGCAGCAATGGGGAGCCCTTGCGCTTTGGCAGTCCCTGGGCACATAGAGATCTTGGCCTGAGCTGACCTTTGTCCTTGAGATGTCTATAGGGGGAGTCATGCCACACCATGCTCCTGATCAGGGCAGGTGTGAGTGGCAGAAATCTGTTCCATGCCGGGCGAGACTTTGAGCGTTTGCAGATAGTAACTCACACATGTTCAGGGCTCTAGGGGGCAGATACTAGGAGTGTTCCTGCTGCAGTGTAGGACCTTAGCCATGTGGTCCAGCATGGGGTTGTCATGAATTCCACTGGGACTCAACTGGGATGGGGTGTTTTGTTTGCACAGGACTCAGCCAGTCTTAAAATGCAAAGTTCTGCATCCTGGGAGCCCTCTCAGTCCCAGACAAACCTAAGTGGCCCTGTGGTGGGCTGAGGGTCACCCTACCTCTTGGGCAGCCCTGGTGGGACTGGAGGCAGGTGTGTGTTGGGGCCAGGTGGGAGGCAGGTGGCCTGGACCTCCCTTGTGCTCCCGCCTGCTGAGGCTGGCTGTCTGGCGAGGCTGGCGTGTGTGGATGCAGTGGCTGGTGGCTGCTCCAGGCCAGCCAGGTGCAGATAACTAGACGCCTGGCAGCGATGCCCAGGAGACGAAGACTCCAGCTCTTAATTAAACCTGTCAGATGTCCCCCAGAGCCTGCCTGGCACTCCTTTGGCTTCTGATCAGATAGCCTGATCCTCGGGCTGCCACAGGACTGACACCTCACAGCTCTGGAATGTTCTGTCAGGGCCTGCCTGCCTTTGTTCCTGACAGAGGCAGAGCTGGCCCTGAGCAGGGTGGGCCATGTTGAGGGTGCACCAGGCCCGAGATGTGCATGCAATGGTGTGGGGGCTTGGGGACAGCCTGCAGCCCTGGGACCTCACCCCTGGCCGCACTCCACCACCTCACAGCGGGTGGAAGGAGCCCGAACTCCAAAGCTGCTCTACGCTTAACTGCCAGTGTCTGAGATGCAGGAGGCCCTGCCCAGCCTGCCCCTGGTGCTGATGCTTTCTCTGCCCTTGTCTTGCTTGATCCTGTGGGAACCTTGCAGAGGAGAGTTACTATCCCTGTGCTAGGGCTGTAGTAGCTGGGGGACGAAGAGGCACAGTAGTTTCCTTAAGATCACGAAACCAGTAAGTGTCAGAGCCAGGATTTGATGTAGGCCCCAAGAGTGGGAGGGTTGGGGCATGGAGCGGGGCCACCAGGGCATGCTGCCCCTGACGCCGCATCTGGCCACAGCCTTTGCAGAGCTGCAGACAGACATCCACGAGCTGACCAATGACCTGGACGGTGCCGGCATCCCCTTCCTTGACTACCGGACATATGCCATGCGGGTGCTCTTTCCTGGGATCGAGGACCACCCTGTGCTCAAGGAGATGGAGGTAGGACCACTGGCTCCGGGGGGTCACAGGAACTCAGAGGCAGCTGCTATCTTCTGCCTTTGAGGCTCCTTGGGTGCTGATGGATGGTATGGGGCAGCCTGTGTGGCCTGGGGGAGGGTCCAGGCCTGCAGGGCTCTGGGCTCAGCCAAGTGGGGAGCAGGTGCTGGGAGGCAGAACCAAGACCAGGCAAGCACAGTGGAGCCCTGAGCCCTGGGGTTGGGGCAGGGGAATGGCCAGCACGGCTCTGCTCCATAAAGTACCTCCAGAGGGCAGGAGGAGGCTCTGGCCCCAGGGCCTCCGTGGGATGCCAGGCCTCATCCCAGCAAACCACTTGTCAGCCTGGGCTTCTGGCACCTCCCCGGTGGCTGCCCCTTGGGCCCTGCCTCTGTTGGGGGTCCCGCCTGCGGCTCCACTGGCCTGGTCTCCTGGGTGGCTCTGGATGCGAAGCCTCGCTGGGCAGGGGCCGTGTGCTGGGAGGTGCGGGTGCCTGATGAAGTCTGCTATGGCGGTTTGGGAGGGGAGCATGTGGCTGGCATAGCACCAGGGTCTCAGAGAGTAGGGCTTTGCCCCGTAGACCTTGGCAGCGAGCCTGGCGAGGGAAAAGAGGGCTGGCTCCCACACCCCTAAAAGGCCCCCAGCGGCAGGCAGGCTAGGAGCCAGTCCTTGGCGAGCCACGGCCAGGGGCTCGGCAGGTTAGCTCAGTCACACTCTCCAGCTGAGGGCACCCCCCAACCGTGTGCCTTGGATGTTGGGGAGCCCATGTCCCTTGTGGTGACTCTGTTGGTGGGAAGTCCCTTTTGAGCTGATACTGAGCAGACCTTCCCGCCTTGGGCCCTGGGCTGCCTGTGGCTGAGTGCTGCCATCCTGTTCCTGGGCTTGCTGCCACACGGGGCTACACAGCCTCCCCAGGTTGTATCTCTCTTTCAGTGCCTCCATTTGCTGTGTCTGTCACACTGTCTCTCTCAGCTGTGACTGTGTATGTTCTGCCTGGGCCATTACCTGTCTGCCTGATACCTGTTGGCCTTGGCTGGGAGCCTGGTATCACTGGTGGCCTCTGGGCTCTGCCTAATAGGGAACATATTGCCCTGATAAACCTTAGTATGAACAAGAGAGAGAGAGTAGGGACCCTGGAGCCAGCTATGCCTCTACTCCACTCCTTTTTCCTACCTGCAGTGTGGCCCTAATCAAACCTCTTCCTGTCTCCAACCTTGTGTCCTCATCCATGAGATGCAGAGACTGGTCGTGCATTGGTTATCATTGTCAAGGCGGAGGGAGATGGTAGACATGCACTCCTGGTACCCAGTGGATGGGGGCATTGAGTTGGACTTCCTTTGAGCTGCTGCAGGCCCGCTGCAGGGGTTGCTGTTCAAAGGGCCCAGTCACGGAGAGGGTGGCGTGAGCAGCCCCTCTCATTCTGCACCCAGCCGCACTCGTAACACCTTTGTCATGTCGGCTTGCAGGGGCTTCTCAGGCTGCCACAGGGACTCTGTGGCCAAGGCTGCCCTGATGGCAACAGGCAGTGGTGGCAGCACCCAGGTCGTGTCCATTTTGCTAAGGACAGGTGAAGCTTGGGAATGACCCGCCGAGCTGAGGAGTCAGGGCAACTTGTCACTTGCCTTCCAGGCCTGTCCTCTGATGGGGCCCTGCCTCACCAGCCAGGCCTGGACAGCCCCTCACTGGTCAGCTTGGGGGCTGGGGCTGGGTGCTTCTCTGTGGTCTGAGCTCTGTGTGCTCCCTCAGGTGCAGGCCAATGTGGAGAAGTCGCTGACACTGTTCGGGCAGCTGCTGACCAAGAAGCACTTCCTGCTGACCTTCATCCGCACGCTGGAGGCACAGCGCAGCTTCTCCATGCGCGACCGCGGGAATGTGGCCTCGCTCATCATGACGGCCCTGCAGGGCGAGATGGAATACGCCACAGGCGTGCTCAAGCAGCTGCTTTCCGACCTCATCGAGAAGAACCTGGAGAGCAAGAACCACCCCAAGCTGCTACTGCGCCGGTGAGCCTGGGGGGCACTGGGGTTGGGGGAGGCAGGCCCATGCCTCCAGCTTTGGACAGGTTGGTCTAGCAGGCCCAGAGACGTTGCTGTGGCAGTTCCCACCGGGCAGGGGTGGGAGGACTCACCTGGCCTCTGAGGCTCAGCTGCCACCTCCCTAGGTACTGATAGTGAGGACCCAGGCTGGAGTCTCCATACACACAGGCCTGGGCTCTGGGCGAAGGACTGGGGTCTCCATGGCAGCCCCTGAAGCGCCTGCTGCCCACTCATGTGGGTGCCTTTCGAGACCTGACCTTCGGTGCTGTAGGAAGGGGGGCAGGGTGGGGTGGGATCGGTGAGTGAGGCCTGCAGGGGCCCTGTGCCTGCTGGACAGCTGGAATGACACCACTCTGCCCATATTCTGTGCTCCCCAGGACTGAGTCGGTGGCAGAGAAGATGCTAACTAACTGGTTCACCTTCCTCTTGTATAAGTTCCTCAAGGTAAGCAGAGGCGGGAGGAAGCAGGTGTCAGAGGCAGGTGAACAGCGGGAGGGGAAAACGGAGAGAGGTGGGGATTAGTGGGAGGTGCTGGAGAATGACAGCTGGTGGGGTCTTGGTCGAGTTCTGGCTTGGGCCAAGGCCCCTGGGCATGCAGCCGCTCTCAGCTCCTGGCTCCCGGCTCCCTCCTCCCTCCTTCTGAGGCTGTCAGGCCCTCACACAGCCCACCAAGGTAGGTGTGGGAGTTCGGATACAGGCTCTCAGTGCCCACAGCTGGCCTGGGCTCAGGAGGGTGGGGGCACCCTGGGCAGGGGCCTCTGAGGGGCCAGCCTGGGGGTGCCTGAAGGCTCCAGTCCACCACCTGTCATGGGGACAGGTGACCGCACTGGGCTTCCCCTGTGCTGTCCATTCAAGCCCCTCCCACCCCCCAGCAGAAGGATGCTGCCGTCCTCAGAACAGGAACAGGGTGTAGGCCAGAGACTGCAGGCCAGGGCCCAGGCTGGATGGGGATCTGGGTGGGCTTTATCTGGGCAGTAAGCAGTTGAATTGCTGTCTGCACTTTCGATGTTGGGACTTTTACAGACTCAGGTATCTGGCTTCTCTTGGAAATCTGAAGGCCTGGTTAGCCCACTCCTGAGAGGTGGGAGGAGCCCGGTGTGTGCATGGTGAAGTGCATGCTCCTCGCCTGGCTTCAGTGGTCCCTGTCGCTGCTCTGTGGGTGAGGGTGACTGACAGTGTAGCCCAGTGATCGAGGGTGGGAGCTGGCACTGACTGCCTGGGTTCGATTCTCCTGGTTTCCTTATGGAATCCAGGGATGGCACCTCTGTCTCTGGGCCGTGGGGCTTTCAGGCCTCCTGCAGCCAGATGCTGCTGAGCTCAGGTGATCAGCGCACAGATGCCTGCACAGAGCGGAGTCCTGGCCAGACATCCTCGCTGCCGGGAGAGACACTGGACGGGAAATACAGCAGACAGGCAATGGGGCAGGGCCGAGCAGGGAGGGTGGGATTCGAGCAGAGGTCTGAAGACCAGGCGGGGGGAGGGAAGAGAGTCCCAGGCAGAAGAGGCCACTGGGGAGAAGGCCCCAGGTGGGATAGGCAGGGGCTGGGCTTGTCTGTCCTGGGTCGTCTCTGGAGGTGGGACATTTATGTGTATATAGCAGTCCCTGGCACCTAGTAAGTGCCCAGTAGATGATAACATCCTTAGGCAGAACTGGAAGCAGGTAACACAAAGTCGTGCGTGTCCTGTAGAAAGTACAGTTCTATGAAGACTGCATAGTATGTGTGCATGCTGGGTAAGCTGGGCTCTGTGAGCCTAAAGCAGCAGGCGTCCTGGGTGAGGTGGAGAGGGCACCGCTAACCTGAGTCCCTGTCTGATCCCGATTCTCCACACCCACAGAGACAGGGCTCAGGGCAGCAAATGCCTATAAGCACCGACGTTGGGTGTGGATTCTCTTTCATGCCAGGATATAGGGGGCCAGCTTCAGCCAGCGCAGAGTGTGGCCCCACAGGGTATTATAAGCAGAGAGGGTGGCAGTGGGGCACTGTGGAGGGGTTGTCTTTAGGCCGGATCAGACATTCCATGGAGAGCCGGGGACATTTGGGACAGGCGCTGAGGGATGTGTGGGCAGTGGAGGGAGGGAGAGGGAGGCCAGTCTTGGCCAAGGGAGCCATAGGAAGGGGACACAGGGAGGAGGGAGGCAGGGGTGACCATTTGGGTGGGAGTGGTGCAGGTACAAGGGGTGCGGGCTGTGTGTTGGGGGCTTCACAGCCCATGCCCATGACCCCAGCCCACCCTCGTTGTTAGTGGGGTACCAGTGTCGGGGGCAGGCAGGGGCCAGGAGCTGTTAGATCTCCTTAGGTCATCACTGCCCTCCTCCAGTTCTAGGAGGACCCCTATATATGCAAGGGAGGACACGTACTGGGCGCAAGGACATGGCCTGAGGCTGAGAGGCGCAGACAGACATGCTGGAGCTGGGCGCCCCCTGGATGGGACTGAGATGGGCCTAGGGCTGTTTCCATCCACATAACTGGCCAGTGACTTTTTGTTTTTGCCACCATATCTGGGGTTTTTTTGTTTTTGTCTTTTTTAAGATAGATGTTATTGTTTAGAGCAGTTCCAGATTCATAGTAAAATTGAACAGAAGGTACAGAGGTTTCCCATGCGCCCGCTGCTCCCACACATGCACAGTCTCCCCACTGTCAGCATCCCTAGGAGAGGGGTGCATTTGGTCCAGTCAGTGAACCTGCCAGGAGACATCTTCACCACCCAGTGCCCCTCGTTTCTGTGCGGGCTCACTCTTGGTGCTCTGCATTCTGTGAGTTTGGATGAACGTAGGATGCCATGTATCCACCGTTATAGTGTCACACAGAATAGTGTCGCTGCCCTAAAAATCCCCTGAGCTCACTTGTCATCTCTCCCTCCCCCTGAGCCCTTGGCACCCGTTGATCTCATTGTCTCCATAAGTTATGCCTTTTCCAGATGTCATGTAGTGGAATCGTGCACTGTTACCGTAGCCTTTTCAAACTGGCTCCCTTCACTTCGTAATCTATTTTGAAGGTTCCTTTATTTATTTTCATAGCTTGTTGCTCATTTCTTTGTAGTGTGCCACAAACTTAAAAAAATTTGTTATGGTGAAATACACATGACATAAAATTTACCATCTTAACCATTTTTAAGTGCACAGTTGAGTGGTATTGGATGCATTTACAGCGGTGTTGGCCATGGCCACCTGCTCCATGACTCTTCATCTTGTGAAACTGAAACTCTGTCCCCATTGAACACCCACTCCTTGTTCCTTCCTCCCCAGCCCCTGGAACCATTCTACTCTCTGTCTCTGTGAATCTGACAGCTCTAGGGACCTCATATGAGTGGAATCATGCATTGTTTGTCCTTTCGTGGCTGGCTTAATTTCATCAGCTTAATGGGGAAGCAATCCAGGTGTCCATCGACAGATGAATGAATAAGCAAAATGTGGTCTGTGCATACAATGAGATAGTAGTCTGCCTTAGAAAGGAAGGAAATTCTGACATGCTGCAACATGGATGAACTTTGAGAACACAAACTCTTTTTAAACAACCCAAATCCTTTTCATTCCTTGCTGTCTTTAGAAACAAAAACTTTAACTAGAAAAGGAACCCATGCCATTTTAGCACATGTAAACAACCTGGAAGGGAGGATGGAGAAGTGCTTGTCGTAATGTCATTTATTGAACTGCCCATATTATCCTTCTATTTGAAAAGTGGCACTTTTTGTTGGGCAGTTTTTGCACATTCCTGAGTGGGGCTGGGAGGAGTCTGAGGTCTTCCTTTTCCCCGTCACTGCACGAGAGATTGAGGCTGCGACAAGAAAAGGACTGGGCCTTCCTCTTCCCTGGCCTCTGAGCTCTTGGAACCTCCTTTGCAGCCTCTAGGCTGGCCTGGCTGAAGAAGTGGGTGGAGTGGGGCGGGGCCTGCTGCCTGGGTTGAGTGTGAATGCCCGGCTCAGCCTGAGCCTTCTCTGGGTACACCTGGCTTGTATGGGGCAGGTGCTTTGGGGTCAGCTGGATCTGGGTTCAGATCTTGGCTTCTCCAGTTTCTTGCTGTGTGACCTTGGGCCAATATCTGCACTGCCCTGACCTTCAGAGACTAGCTGCCGTCCTTTCACTCTCTGAGGCCAGGCCTGGGAACCCTCGGACAGGTGTCTGACTTTGGGAAACCCTCAAAGGCTTCCTGTCACATTAATGGCTCTCCATCCGGATCTGCACCCCTTTTCCTCCTCCTTCGTGGCTAACTTAATGAAACCAAGTTTGCAAATGAAACATAATTTCATAGACAGACATGTTGTTGGAAGGTCTGGGATGGTCTTAACAGCTGTCTCTCTAATTACCGCAGATGCTAACGAGGTGCCTGGAGCCTCTGGTTACAGGAGCAGAGCTGCTGTTTGTTTGCCAGGGCCGGGTAGGAGGCAGGGCTGCCAAACCTGCCCCTCCATTGAGGTGTACACACACCTGAAGGCCCTTGGGCAGGCAGGACCTACAGTGGACCCCATGCCCAGGCTCTGGGCGGGCCTCGCCTGTGTGGCCAACTCACCCAGCCCAGACGTGAACGTTTCCCAGGGACAGCTCTCCATTCACTCAATTCATCCAGCAAGTGTCTGTGATGCCCCATGCACAGGCTCAGCCAGTGCTAGCAGTAGGGTATAGTGAGCAGGCCAGGCAGCTCCCACTCCAGAGGGGTTGCCAGGGGTGCACAGGATCCTTCAGAGAACGACAGATGGCGGGGAGACTCAGCGAGGCAGTGGTCGGGGGTACGTGTGCTGGGCGCTCCCCAGGAGCCTTTCTGAAGAGGGCACATTGGGTTGGGTCCACAAGGGCCCATGAAGATGCCAGGGGAAATTTCTGGTTGTAGAGGCAGCAGTTGCAAAGGCCCTGAGGTGGGACAGGAGGCGGTTCTCATGCTACAGCGCGGGGAGCCGGAGGGTGAGGGGTCAGGTGCCCGCTGAGGGCCCGGGGCTGTGCTGCTGGCCCTGTGCTGTGTGCTTGGGTGCTGGTGAACCTCCCTGGGTGGGCAAGCCTCCTCAGGTGGGTATGTCAGTATCCATGACACACCATAGTTGTGTCCCAGAGTAATATGGGGGCCCAGCTGGGTGGTCCCTAGGAGGCCAGTGGATCACAGTCACACTTGGAGTTGCGTAGTATGGGGTCCGCTTGTGCCATGGGCGGTGGGCCATGGGGAGCTTTGTCCTGAGCACCTCCAGCTGGGGAGCAGGCCCCTGGGAGGCTGGAGCTAGGCGGGGATCCTGCTGAGACCAGGGGAGACTTCTGGGTGAAATAGGCCTCGGCCCTCCCTGATGCAGGTCCCGCGTGCCACGCCATGTTCCTCGATACACTACTGCGCCTCCTGGCTCATGTGTAATTTAGGGTTTTCATGTGATATTTGTGGGATGGTGGGTATGTTTTGTTTCCTGATTTTCTTGCAGTCTCTGCTGGGCTTTGGGACTAAGGCTGTACTTGCCTCCCAAAGAGTTGGGAAGTGCTGCTCATTTCTCCTTGCCAGGAACACCATGGCTGGCACTCGACGGGTGGAGGGGCAGGTTGGGGGTAGGCCCGGGGGTCCTGGCTGCAGCCTCATGCCGCCACCCCCGCAGGAGTGCGCTGGGGAGCCGCTGTTCATGCTGTACTGCGCCATCAAGCAGCAGATGGAGAAGGGCCCCATTGACGCCATCACGGGTGAGGCACGCTACTCCCTGAGTGAGGACAAGCTCATCCGGCAGCAGATTGACTACAAGACACTGGTGAGCGTGGCTGCCCTCTGTCCTGGGTGCCCTGGTGCCCCCCACCCCCCAGTTGTGGGGCTGACGCTGCCCCCTTGCTCCACCCCGCCCGCAGACCCTGAACTGTGTGAACCCTGAGAATGAGAATGCACCTGAGGTGCCGGTGAAGGGGCTGGACTGTGACACGGTCACCCAGGCCAAGGAGAAGCTGCTGGACGCTGCCTACAAGGGCGTGCCCTACTCCCAGCGGCCCAAGGCCGCGGACATGGACCTGGGTGAGCGGGCGGGGCCACGGCTGCCCGGGGTGTGTGCTGGAGCAGAGGGGCAGGGCCATGGCCTAGTACTGAGCTTGGCGGGGAAGGCCAGGCCAGTCCTCCACACCAGGCTGGTCTGGAGGGCAGTGGAATGGCGAGTGGGCTGTCCAGTCCCAGGTTGGGTATAGAGGGTGGCTGCCCTGCTCTGGGCAGAGACTCTGGGAGGTGGTGGGTTCCAGTGCACTCTGGGAGGCAGTGGGCTCTTGGAGCCCTGAGGGGGATACTCAGGCTCATGAGAGGGGCAGGTGGAGCCATTGAGGGCCAGAGGGGATGGGACGGGTTTGGGGTGGGGCCCGGAGTCCTGCTGCAGATGTGACTGGAGAGGCTGGGTCCCCACAGAAGCCTCGGTGCCAGGCTGAGGAGTTGGGGCCCTAAGGCTTGCGGAAGGCAGGGCAGACCCCCTTAGGCTGGGGCTGCTGTGGCAGATTGGGAGGGCTGTGGCACATTGCAGGGGACTATGGCAGGTTAAGTGTGCTGCAGCAGGGGCGGAGGTATGTCCCTGCCCTGTGCTGGTGCTGAGAGCTGCAGGCAGGCCCCGTCCCACTACACTGCTGTGATGGAGGAGGGAAAGAGGGCCCCAGCGGCCCCACCCTCCAGCTCCCTCCTCCCCCAGAGTGGCGCCAGGGCCGCATGGCGCGCATCATCCTGCAGGACGAGGACGTCACCACCAAGATTGACAACGATTGGAAGAGGCTGAACACACTGGCTCACTACCAGGTGGCTCCCGGCCCTCCGACCCTAGCACAGGCCTCCCTCCCCTTGGGGCTTCCACAGCGCAGCCACCAATGTTTGCAGCATGTGGGCTGGACAGCAGCTGGATCTGTCAGGGAGAGGAGGGGAGGTGGTCACTTATGTGTGTGGACCGTCCCAGGACTCGAGCTGGGCTTGTGGGATTGCCTAGCATCCCTGGGCTGTCCTGATATAGAGTTCCAGACTGAGTGAGGTGGCTGCCTCCAGGCACAGCACTAGGGTGTCACCGGGGTCCCCAGCCGGGGAGTGGGAGCCTGGTGGTGCAGGGGCACCCTGGTGGGTCACAGGGTCCCTGGCCCTCTGCCCACAGGTGACAGACGGGTCCTCGGTGGCACTGGTGCCCAAGCAGACGTCCGCCTACAACATCTCCAACTCCTCCACCTTCACCAAGTCCCTCAGCAGATACGGTGAGGGGCCAGGCAGCGGGCGAGAGGGCAGCGCATGGGTCCCTGGCCTGGGCAGGACGTCCCCCGGGCTCCCACGCTGCAGCAGCCGGACGGGAGGACCCAGGGGCAGGTGTCAAGCCTGTCACTCGCACTCTTGGCCTTACCCTCCAGCTCTGGAGGCTGCGCCTCCTCGCGACTGTGTGTCCGTACACAATTATGCCACCTCTGTGGTGTCATCGGCTGCCCCAAAATCCCACATGGGTGGGGGTGCCATCCCCAGCTTTCAGATGGGGAAACAGGCTCGGGCGGGGGGTGCGGGGTGCCAGCCAACGCGGGCGCTGACAGCCTGGTGCTGCAGAGAGCATGCTGCGCACGGCCAGCAGCCCCGACAGCCTGCGCTCGCGCACGCCCATGATCACGCCCGACCTGGAGAGCGGCACCAAGCTGTGGCACCTGGTGAAGAACCACGACCACCTGGACCAGCGTGAGGGTGACCGCGGCAGCAAGATGGTCTCGGAGATCTACTTGACACGGCTACTGGCCACCAAGGTGGGCCTGGCTGGCAGATGGGGGCAGGGGACGCTGGGCCAACTGAGCTCAGAGAAAGTGCCAAGCCCAGAGCAAGGGCCTCACCCCCATGCTCCCATGGCCACTTGCCTAGTCACCCAGGAGGTGTAGGCAGCCAGGCAGCGCCCTGGGGCTCAGTGTCCCTGCCTGCCCCCCGCAGGGCACACTGCAGAAGTTTGTGGACGACCTGTTTGAGACCATCTTCAGCACGGCACACCGGGGCTCAGCCCTGCCGCTGGCCATCAAGTACATGTTCGACTTCCTGGATGAGCAGGCCGACAAGCACCAGATCCACGATGCTGACGTGCGCCACACCTGGAAGAGCAACTGGTAATGCAGGGCAGGGGGAGGAGGGGCATCCCCCAGGGCCAGGCCAGATGTGTTCCCAGGGCCCTCGCCCTGTTCTGATCCGGAGCCCCCACTTGGGGCTCCCTGGCGTGGGGACACAACCCAGCAGGGGCATGGCGGGCCAGTCCTGTGCTAACTGGCCTTCCCTATCTGCCTGTGCCCCTTGACCCACGGCTCGCCCTCTGCTCCAGCCGCTGAGCCCCTCCCACTGCTGCAGGAACTGTGTGCAGGTGTGAGTGGCTCTGGGTGTGCACAGCTGTGCGGACATGAGTGTGGGCTGCAGCGTGAGAAACAGGGCACAGTGGACCAGCCCCAAGCCGGCTGGTTGCAGTGATGAGGGCAACAGGGACTGCAGGTACTCCTGGTAGTCTTTAGTGCGAGGAATTTACAGCCTCCCCATTGCAGTGTGGGGCCAGGCCAGAGCCTGCTTACTGAGGCGCAGAGGCCGAGCCACTTGCCACGGTCTCACGGAGCAGCTGGAGTACGGAGCAGGGCCTGCCCAGCCTGCACCGTGCACAGCTACACCAATGTGAGCTGGGGCTCTATGAGGCTGGGTTTTGTTATGAAGAGGCACCCAGCCTCTGAGTGGCCTCCCTCCAGAGTATCTGCCTCCCTGGCCAGCCAGTCCCTTGCTTTCCTCCGGCCTGGCCCACCCCTGGGACAGTGACCTGCTTCTTCCCTGGTCATGGACTGCCCAACTCAGCAATGTTGGCTTCCTCTCTGCCACACAGGCAGGCCAGCCCTTGGCCTCACTCCTTACTCAGGACCCCCAAGCTCTGGTCTGTGGCCCCCTGCTCCGGTTGGCACACTGTAGCCACACCCTAGCCCCTGGAGCGGGTCCCTGCTGTGTGTGTGGCCCCCACCCCAGCAGACAACCCCACCATTGCCTGCTACAGGGGAGCCCCTCTCTGTGCACCAGGCCCCTCTACCTGCATGGCCGAGGGCTTCTGGGGTAGGACTGCTCCCCCACACCTGGGGTCAGGTGGATGCCCTTGCCTGTATGGCTGGACCCTGCTTCACCAGGAAGTGCCCCTCCTCACCGTGCATCCTGCTGGGGTCTCCCCCCAGTTCTGTGCACACTCTCCACTGTCTTAGCTCCCCTCTCTCCTGGACTGTCCCTGCCACTTCTGCTGGCTCCCGGGCCAGCAGCCACCCCCGACTTGGTCTTGTCCATCCCATGTGTTGCTTCCCAAACCTGGGATGCAGCCACCCCAACCTGTCCCAGCTCCGCCCACTGCTCGCGGAGTCTAGGATTTAAATGAAGTGTCACGAAGCCCCTCTCCTGGGCCATGCTGATTGGGCACAGCGGGAGGTGGGGCCTCCAGGGACGCAGTGTCTCCAGGTCAGCATGTTCTTGGAGAATGTTCTGTCACAGTGGAACATTCTAGACCCGTGCTGTCCAGGGTGGTGGCTCCTGAGCCTTTGAAATGGCACTGGTGTGGCTGAGTGTCTGGGCTCTTCACTTCATTTAAGTTAAGCAGCCACGTGTGGCCAGTGCTGCCAGGCAGCCCAGCTAATGGCAGTCCCTGAGGTGGTGTTTGGGGCACAGAGGGCTGGTCTCTGCAGGAATGGGTCCCCTGGGCCGGAGCTGAGCTGCAGGTCTCAGTGCAGGAGCCATGAGTGCAAGCCAGCATGCAGGCCTAGGAGGGTGGTGGCTGTGTGGAGTGGGCCCCTGAGGGCCTGGTCACATCTTGCCCTTGTGCAAACGAGTGCGTTTGAGCACGCCTATCTCATGATGCTCTGCGTGAGATGCAGGTGGTGGGGGCAGCACATCTCTGGTTGGGTGGCAGGGGACGGCCTTCACTTAACCATGGGCCCTGCACCTCTGTGGGCCTCGTTTCCCCGTCTGCATGGAAAGCCATGCCCACTTTGGATTCGGAGCTGGGAGGGCCACAAGGTCACTGCTCAGGAGGGAGCAGAGGCCTATCTGAGCAGCGCCTGGACTCTCGCCTGCAGCCTGCCCCTGCGCTTCTGGGTGAACGTGATCAAGAACCCACAGTTTGTGTTCGACATTCACAAGAACAGCATCACGGACGCCTGCTTGTCGGTGGTGGCCCAGACCTTCATGGACTCCTGCTCCACCTCTGAGCACAAGCTGGGCAAGGACTCACCCTCCAACAAGCTGCTCTACGCCAAGGACATCCCCAACTACAAGAGCTGGGTGGAGAGGTAGGTGGAGGGTGCAGGGGTCGGGGGCAGGGGCCCGGGGGCAGCCTGGACTCTGCTCATGTGCCCACCTGGCCACTCACCTGCAGGTACTATGCAGACATCGCCAAGATGCCAGCCATCAGCGACCAGGACATGAGTGCGTATCTGGCTGAGCAGTCCCGCCTGCACCTGAGCCAGTTCAACAGCATGAGCGCCTTGCACGAGATCTACTCCTACATCACCAAGTACAAGGATGAGGTGAACACCGTGGGAGCCCACAGGCTGGGCTAGGAGGGCTTGCCGGCCCCTGCCAGAGTCACCTGCTCTGCCCCGCCCTGCCACTCCTCCCTGAATCTCTGGGCTGCCACTGACCACCTTCACTCCTCTGCACCCTCTGGCCACCTGGTTCCTTGGGGCCAGGAGGGAGCCTGCCAGGCCGAGCAGAGAAGGCCGTGGTGGAGTCACTGTGTGCAGCCATGTGGGGTCAGGGGTGGGGAAGATGGGATGGCAGCTTCTTCCTGAGGCAGAGGGTGTGTGGGTGGTGAGCAACTTCCCTGAGGGGCTCATTTCAGGGTTTTCTAGTCTGGGCCAGCATCTCCAGGGCTGGGCATAGGCTCTTGGCAGAGCTTTCCTTTCAGTATCTTTTCTGCTGACTTGGAGTGAGGCCACGTACATGGACCTGGGGACGGGGTCCAGGAGGTATCCAGGAAGGAGAACTGGCTCCTGGGCCGCACAGGATGGGAGCACGGGGCCAGAGGGCAGGACAGTCTCGGCCTGTGCCAAGGCTCTGAGGGCTAAGAAGGCCACGGGAGTGAACCAGAGCCACCCTGGGGAGGCCAGGGCAGGTGCAGCAGAGGCAAGGAACCTTCCCCAGGGTGCCACAGGAGGCAGACAGGAGGCAGAGGGCTGTCCTCAGGCAGGTGCCCCAGGGGAGCAGAGGAGCAGCCAGAGACTGCATGTATTAGGGTGGGGAGTGGGGACAAAAGCCTGGGGTCCTGGGGCTCACCAGGGAAAGGGGAGCTGAGGCTCTCTGGGGAGCTCTGCTTTAAAGGGGCACAGAAACCCCAGGGTGTGAGGACTGGGTGGGGACATGTCAGCAGCATGGCCAGGCAGCCAAGGGATCAGAGCCTGCTGTTTTAGGGGGTGAGAGTAGGATGATGACAGGGGCAGGGCTCATTCTCCATATTGGGGTCCTGGAGGGTCCAGGCTCACAACCAAGGTCCTTTGGCCAGGGGTAGATGGGGTTGAACCTCTGGCACCTACTCTGGAGGCATCTGCCCTGGGCCTGCTGAGTGCATGGAGGCTGGTGGCCCGGCATGCTGACAGTTCTCCTGGCCCTGCAGATCCTGGCAGCCCTGGAGAAGGATGAGCAGGCGCGGCGGCAGCGGCTGCGGAGCAAGCTGGAGCAGGTGGTGGACACGATGGCCCTGAGCAGCTGAGCCCCAGCTGTGATCATCCAGCATGATGCAGCGTGAGGACAGCTGAGCAGGGACCGGGACAGCCCTCACCGCATGCGTGTGGAGTGTCCGGTGGTGCTCGGGCCGCCGCAGTGCAGCGACTGCCCGGCCCTCCCTCCCCTGCCTCACCCGGTCGGGTCCCGGCTCTTCCTGTGTGGAGGTGATGGTACCTGCCACACCACAGCTGCGCACACAGCTGCTTGCTCAGGGGCCGGGACAGCACTGGGTGCTCAGGCTGGCCAAGGACCTTCATTGCCTGGCAAGAGCTGCCCAGTGGCCTTCATGGGAGAAGGGCTGACCTCTGAGGGGCTGAGGGGTGAGGCCAGGGCCCTCCAGGGGGAGGGGTAGCCAGCTTGGGCTGTCCCCTTGAGACCAGGACAAGAGGCTGGGGGTGTCAGCATTCCCAGCTTTCCAAGCTGCCCCCAGGCGGCAGAGTCTGAGGGTCCCGGGGCCCGGTTGGCAGCTGGAGAAAGAGGCAAAAAGCCCGTAGCCGGGCAAGAGGAGCTCAAGTCGGTCTGGGCCCGTTGCCACCGACTCCCACCTCCAGCACCCATGCCCGCTGCACCGCTGCCATCCTCAGATTCACCGCGTGCTCTGCGCGGCCGAGGCCGGAGCACCACATCCACCTCGCCCCAGAGAGGCTCTGCTCCCTCCTATGGAGGGGCTGTGGGCCAGGCTGCTCAGACTCCTGGGTGGCTTCCAGACGGACCGGGCAGCCCCTCTCCGTCCTCAGGGCTGTGCCTCTGGGAGCCACTGGGCCAGGGGCCCCGGGTCGCAGAGAGCACGTTCCCGTTATTTATTCCCCTCCGCGTCCTACACAGGCTGCCCTGGCAGCTGTCTTCAAGGGTAGGCTGAGCTCCCCACCCTGGAGCCCCTGAGGGCGGCCCCTGAGCACTCCTCTCTCTCCACTCTCTCTGTCCCTGCCCCAGCGGCTTCCAGTGTGGCATCTCAGCAGTGTCCTGGCCCCTCCAGAGCAGTGGGACATCTGGGGACTGTTTTTGTGTTTAGGGGAAAAAATTCTGCTGCACTCTGCTTGGGCCTTGAGGTCTGTGGCAGGGCTCCTCTGGCCCGCAGTGGCCTGGATCTATCTGGGCCATGAGTGACGGGCAGTGACCAGAGGGACTGGAGGCCAGCGGTGTCCACCCTTGCCCTCAGCAAGAGAGAATGCATTCTTAAAAGAAAGCTGTACATGTATATATATGCATATATATATATGTGGCTCTAGCCTCAGGCTCCAGCCCCAGTGGGGTACTGTACAGTTAACTGAAGAAGAATTTTAAAGACGATTTGAACAAGAAAATGAAGGCAGTGGGAAAGCAATGCCAAATGGTTGTGGAGAAAGTGGCCGGAGCCTCCCTGGAGTGGAGCAGCCCTGAAGCCTGTGCCCCCCGACCTGCGGGCCGCTGTTTTGGTTTGACATGACAAGGAAAGGACTTCCTGCTGACCCTGAGAGCCTCTGGGGTGCCGCGGCACCACGGGGCATGCATGATTGTGCTAGCGTTTAGTCTGAGTTGATCTTTTTAAAACTGCAAGTGTTGAATACTAGAGGTTGTTAGACCCTTTTTTATGTTTTTTAATTAATCAGTCACTTGTAAAAGCAAACAAGCGGTCCATCCCCTTTTCAAGGTCACTTTTTTGATGGTACCGAAGATCCCATGGACATTAAGGGACAGCTAACTGTGGCCAGACTCAGCCCCATGTCCTTGGCCAGGCCCAAGGAGAGGACTCGGCCCCATGGGGTGTGCCAGTCTTGCAGTCCGCCCCAGCTGAGTAGCGTGAGCCAGATGACGCCACAGAGACCCGCCTCTTCCCTGAACGCGGGTCGGTGTGGAGTCAGTGACTGCTGACTCAGGGAGCTCCTTGGCCCCGTGGGCACTGTGCCAGGGCTGGGGCCTTCTGCTGCTGCCACACCCAGCTCAGGCCTGGGCCAGCCCCTGCCCCCAGCCCACTGAGGGGGTGGGCTTACTCCCTGGGCAGTCTTGGGGGCCAGAGCTGAGGCCAGTCCATATTACAGTGGCTGGGCTGTTTTTTTCAGTAGCCCCTAGCATTGGCTGGGATTCCTGTTCCTGGGTGCGCCTCCACCTCCCTTCTGATGTTTCCTGGCTATGGTGGGGTGGGAACCTCAGTTTCCCCCAAAGTCTTCCCTGGATGCTGGCTTCAGGTTGAAGTCCCTGGTTCTTCCAGTTCCTCACGGGTTAGGTAGGGGCTCCTGCATCACCTTCAGAATCCAGTTCCAACCCCCACTCTCCTTAGGCCTTGTGCTCTGCTCTGCCCTGCCAGGCTGCCCTTGTCCATGTGAGTAGCATGGGCGGGTGGTGGGGACGGCAGTGGTGATGAAGGGGGTGCACCACAGGCCTCATGAAGCAGTTCCCACATGGGCGTGTGGCTGGGGCGTGGCCACCACAGAGCACATGGCTGTGTCTAGGCGCAAGCACTTTAGCAGTATCTGTTTACATGCGCAAGGATCAAGCCGACTACCTGTGCTGTCTACTGGGACAGCAGTCTCCGAGCTACTCCGTACCTCCCTCTGCCAGGTCGTGGAGTTAGGCCCCAGTCCCTACTTGTCACTGGTTCCCACTGTGCTCCTAACTGTGCAGCACCTGGGAGCTCTGGCCTGGGGCTGGAGGCCCTGGTAGGAGCTGCAGTTGGAGGCCGTTCTGTGCCCAGCAGCGGTGAGCGGCTCCCATGGGCCCTGTGTCTGCAGGGAGCCAGGGCTGCGGCACATGTGCTGTGAAACTGGCACCCACCTGGCGTGCTGCTGCCGCCACTTGCTTCCTGCAGCACCTCCTACCCTGCTCCGTGTCCTCCCTCTCCCCGCGCCTGGCTCAGGAGTGCTGGAAAAGCTCACGCCTCGGCCTGGGAGCCTGGCCTCTTGATATACCTCGAGCTTCCCCTGTGCTCCCCAGCCCCAGGACCACTGGCCCCTTGGCCTGAGGGGCTGGGGGCCCCACGACCTGCAGCGTCGAGTCCGGGAGAGAGCCCGGAGCGGCGTGCCATCTCGGCTCGGCCTTGCTGAGAGCCTCCGCCCTGGCTTTCTCCCTGTCTGGATTCAGTGGCTCACGTTGGTGCTACACAGCTAGAATAGATATATTTAGAGAGAGAGATATTTTTAAGACAAAGCCCACAATTAGCTGTCCTTTAACACCGCAGAACCCCCTCCCAGAAGAAGAGCGATCCCTCGGACGGTCCGGGCGGGCACCCTCAGCCGGGCTCTTTGCAGAAGCAGCACCGCTGACTGTGGGCCCGGCCCTCAGATGTGTACATATACGGCTATTTCCTATTTTACTGTTCTTCAGATTTAGTACTTGTAAATAAACACACACATTAAGGAGAGATTAAACATTTTTGCTAAAAGCTCTTGGCTCCAGGTTTTCCTTGCTGGGAAGCAGGGGCGGCCGCAGGAGTGCAGCCACATCCCAAACACGGAAGCATATCTCCCTGGGAGACTCAGCCACACCCAGGACAGATGGCCACACTCTGTGAGTTGGGTGCGCTCAGCCCAGGTGACACATTGGAGCCCTTGGCGGAGACTAAAACACCAGTGCCTGACCCCCACTGGAGCCTTGGAGCTTCAGGGGTCTGAGCGGTGGTCACTTTTAGATGCTTCCCAGGCGATTCTCCCGTGACCCCTAGCTCAGAGCAGTGGCTTCCAGCCCATGCCGTGAGGCAGGAATTCCTGGGTGCCTTGTTAACTAAAATCAGATTCTGACCCCGAGGGGCCCATGAGCGACAGCCTGGGGGAGCTGAGGCTGCAGTCCTGGGCCCCCTGCCTTCAGTAGCCAAGGCTGGAATTGTGTTTCCCAGACTCGCAGCCAAGGAACCGGGTTTGAGAAATGTTGGTCTTTCCAGCAGAGACAGGCTATGCTGCTTCATCTCATGAAAATGTGTACAGATACTAATGATGGAGGTGTGGATGCAGCTTCTGCCAGTGCATGGCTTTGGTCAGTGGCCCCGTCCCTGGGCTCATTTCATCCATGGCTCAACAGGGGTGGCTGCTCCTGCCGCAGAGGGTGGGTGCAGGGTCAGGTGTGACACATCCCCAAGGGCCCTGGGCACCTGCTCTGCAGCTGCGCCTCCAGGCAGACCCCAACCTGGACCGTCTGAGCACTGCCTGTAAGTGAACTCACTGGGACTTCCCGGCAACCCTGGGAGGTTAGGGGCAGCTGCACCTGCAGCTGAGGAATTGAGGCACACAGAGGTTGCACAATGTGTCCCAGCCACATGGTGGTAAGCAGCAGCCCGCCCAAACGTAGGCCCTTGGGACCCCAGGCCCTCCCCACCGCCCCCAAGCTCCCACCTGTCTCCCACCAGCCTCTCCATGAACTCGTTCCCAGGGCTGACAGTGGCCCATAAGTCATCAACAATACCTCCCACTCTCAAACAGGCGCATCTTGACAGTGGGGCTGCAAGCACAAGCTCTGTGCCAGGCTCAGTAACTCAAGAGAAATCAGTGTAATCACCACGAAATTGTGTCGGAAACAAATTTAGCAAATGTGGTCCCGTTTAGGGTGTGACGCAGCCTGTTCTCATGGCTCAGTCCCCTTCAGCTTTTTTCCGGCACAATCAGCCCATCCTCAATTACCCTCATTAGGCCTCCAAGGGCTCCAGCCCATCAGCCTGGAAGCTGAGCCATCTCTGAGCCGCAATCAGCGCTCGCTGTGCGAGTGATCGGGCGCAATTACACAGCAGCGGTGATGGGGCCTTCTGATTGCTGCTTGAGTGCGCTGGCTCCTGAGGGTATTAAACCATCAGCTATTAATGCTGGTGGCTCTGAGCAGGGCACCTGGATGGGCTTGCTGCAGAGCAAGGGCGAGGCCAGCCTGTGGGCCTGGGTGGGATGGAGGCACCCTCCACCCAGAGCAGATCCAGAGG